>NC_000018.10:51830575-52131242 GCF_000001405.40 Homo sapiens
AAACCATAAAAACCCTAGAAGAAAACCTAGGCAATACCATTCAGGACATAGGCATGGGCAAGGACTTCATGTCTAAAACACCAAAAGCAATAGCAACAAAAGCCAAAATTAACAAATGGGATCTAATTAAACTAAAGAGCTTCTGCACAGCACAAGAGACTACCATCAGAGTGAACAGGCAACCTACAGAATGGGAGAAAATTTTTGCAACCTACTCATCTGACAAAGGACTAATATCCAGAATCTACAACGAAGTCAAACAAATTTACAAGAAAAAAACAAACAACCCCATCAAAAAGTGGGCAATGGATATGAACAGACACTTCTCAAAAGAAGATATTTATGCAGCCAAAAAACACAGGAAAGAATGCTCATCATCACTGGCCATCAGAGAAATGCAAATCAAAACCACAATGAGATACCATCTCACACCAGTTAGAATGGCAATCATTAAAAAGTCAGGAAACAACAGGTGCTGGAGAGGATGTGGAGAAATAGGAACACTTTGACACTGTTGGTGGGACTGTAAACTAGTTCAACCATTGTGGAAGTCAGTGTGGCGATTCCTCAGGGATCTGGAACTAGAAATACCATTTGACCCAGCCATCCCATTACTGGGTATATACCCAAAGGATTATAAATCATGCTGCTGTAAAGACACATGCACACGTATGTTTATTGTGGCACTATTCCCAATAGCAAAGACTTGGAACCAACCCAAATGTCCAATAATGATAGACTGGATTAAGAAAATGTGGCACATATACACCATGGAATACTGTGCAGCCATAAAAAAGGATGAGCTCATTTCCTTTGTAGGGACATGGACGAAGCTGGAAACCATCATTCTCAGCAAACTATGGCAAGAACAAAAAACCAAACACCGCATGTTCTCACTCATAGGTTGGAATTGAACAATGAGAACACATGGACACAGGAAGGGGAACATCACACACCGTGGACTGTCGTGGGGTGGAGGAAGAGGGGAGGGATAGCATTAGGAGATATACCTAATGCTAAATGACGAGTTAATGGGTGCAGCACACCAACATGGCACATGTATGCATATGTAAGAAACCTGCACGTTGTGCACATGTACCCTAAAACTTAAAGTATAATAATAATAAAATTTTTAAAAAAAGAATAACAGTAAAATGAAAAAAAAAAACAAGAAATGAAAAGATGAGAGTGAAGCTCGGACATTAACTTATGTGAGAAAACTCTGCCAGTAAATGACAGATCCAGGATGTGACCTCAGACCTGTCACCAGAGCTTGTTCTCTTTCTTCTACAACACATGCTTTAGCAGGATGGGAGCAATAGAAGGTTCCCCAAGAACTAACCGACGGCACCTGTTAAAGCTGGTTCTGCTGAGCAGTTCTGCCTTTGCTGGCTGGGTTTGGACTTCCTGGATCCCTGTTTGAACGCAAAGTGATTAGAAAGCCCCATGTTTGGCAATAAGCTTGACGCGGAGTGTGCTGTGTGTGGGTCTACAGGAGCACAATGTGTTCATCATAACCACATGGAGGGAGTGCCCTGCTGGAGTCTACATCCTGCGGAGGCCAATGAGCGTGGCAACCTGGGGAAAATGGCTTCATTGCACCATAGCTTTAATGGGCACCTTTGGACAGCAGATTCTGCCCAGCTCACCCAGATAGTGTTTATCAGAATCACAGCAGGGGTGAGGAGGGTGAAGCTTGGCAAAACATTTTTAAAAATTTAGTATTCCACAAAAAATTAGCCGGGCGTAGTGGCGGGCGCCTGTAGTCCCAGCTACTTGGGAGGCTGAGGCAGGAGAATGGCGTGAACCCGGGAGGCGGAGCTTGCAGTGAGCCGAGATCCCGCCACTGCACTCCAGCCTGGGCGACAGAGCGAGACTCCGTCTCAAAAAAAAAAAAAAAAAAAAAAAAAAAAAAAAAAAATTTAGTATTCCTATTGTTTTTTTTTAAAACAAATTACTGAAATTATCCCTTGACAGAATCTCCCTGGGGATATGCAGACGGTCTATATGGAAGTATGCAGCTAGCAGGAGTAGAAAAATTGCAGAAGCCCGGCAGTGTACTGCAAACTCCTAGAGCGTTCTCCAGGCTGTGCCTGGAGACTATCCGTATCCGTCAGTGCCTGCCATGTACCTTGGACATAGGAGGTGCTGAGAATATGTTCATAGAATGAGAAAATGATAAATCTGTCAAGAGGCATTATCATAGTAATGCTGGAAAGAGATTTCTAAGCATGAAAGGTCTATTTATAAGACTATTTAAATACATATCAAGGTCCTATACTATTATGATGGACATTAATAAATGGGTATGGTACAGATGTTGACAGGGTCATATTCTCTTACCTGTAATCCATCACCTGGTAGACAAATGTGTTTTCTCCTGTTACCACTTCATGGCGGCAAGTCATGGTAACCTTAGAAATGCATGTTACTGGCCAGATGCAGTGGCTCATGCCTGTAATCCCAGCACTTTGAGAGGCCGAGGCAGGTGGATCACCTGAGATCAGGAGTTCAAGACCAGCCTGGCCAATATGGTGAAACCCTGTTTACTAAAAATACAAAAATGAGCTGGGCGTGGTGGCGGGCGTCTGTAGTCCCAGCTACTCTTGAGGCTGAGGGAGGAGAATCGCTTGAACCTGGGAGGCGGAGGTTGCAGTGAGCCGAGATGGCACCACTGCACACCAGCCTGGCGACAGAGCAAGACTGCATCTCAAAAAAAAAAAAAAAAAAAAAAAAAAAAGAAAAAAAAGAAAAGAAAAGAAAAGAAAAGAAATGCAGGTTACTTATGTAATTTGATAGGCCTGTTACCTTTGGATACTGTCTCTTGCTCCTGCCCTCCAGGCCTAACGCCGGTATAGTGCAGCAGGGGGAAGACAGTGTGGGGGAGGAGAATTACCCTAGGCCAGCTGCTAGCCTAGACCTGGCAGCCCCCAGTCCAGGATCAAAGCAGAGAAATATGAACATTCTATATTAGGCTTTTATTAATGCTGTATTACTGCTGTGGGTGAGAACTTGAAGGAGAATGATGAAGAAGCTTAAAGGAGGGAGAGAGATGCAATCTTTAACTCTGCTGGGCACAAGAAACTTTGGAAATAATCCAAGTCAGGCTGGTGTAGATTGGGCTGCTGCAGCTACTAAAATAATTTCAGTGAAAATCCAGGTCTGTAGAAAACAGATAGAAGTAAAAGTGAATCCAAGGAAGGTATTGATCTTATTTCCCACTCACCTCCTTTCCAGTGACAAATCATCCTCATCTCAAATCACAGCTTCCCCATAACGAGGAGAACTTTATTTCTTGACTATGAAGTCTAATACAAGGAGCTCATCCATTGCATGAAGCGGAAAGGAATTTCCAGGGACTGGGATGAAGGAGCTGAGGGCAGTGCAGTGACATCTTGCAGAGCCCCATTCAATGGCAGTGGCGGAGAGCCTCTTTGAGAACTGCTGACTACGGTGAGCAGTCCTGGCACCATCACAGCAGACATGGCCACATGGGCAGGGTGAAGAAAACTGCCACTGTCGGGTGCCTACCTAACAGCTCTCAGACCATTCTTCCATGTATACAAAGTCTTGTTTTAACCACAGAACAATGCACTCAGGAAAGATTGGCCTCCCTTGGGCCTTAGAGGAAGCACTATGATTGATTTAAGCTAATCATGATTACGTTATTTTCCTTTTCTTGTGACTGTTTTAGCTGTAGGCATGTGACATTATTCTGGCCATTGAGACCTAACCTATGGAAAAACTTACTGGAGGCTGCTCAGAAAGTTTTTCCTCTTTTGTTTTGTTTATTTAAGGAAAAAAGTAATTGATGCATGAGAAGAGGTTCTCTGTCTTCTTCCAGAATCAGCTGTAGGAGGAAGTGTTACCTGAATTTGTGGCAGCCGTTTTGTGACTGCCGTTAACAAATTACCACAATCTTGCAGCCCTAAAACAACGAAACATTACTCTCTCTCAATTTCAGAGATCAGAAGTCCAAAATTAGTATAATCGGGCCAAAATCAAGGTGTCAGCAAGGTCTTGTTTCCTCTGGATGCTCTGGGGGAGAATCTTTGTCTCTTCCAGCTTCTGGTGGCTGTCAGCATTTCCAGGCTTATGACCCTATTATGCCCATTTTTAAGGCCAGCATCTTCAAATCTCTCCTGCTCTGTCTTTTCATCTCCTCCTCTGCGTGTTATCAAATATCCTTTTGCCCTCTTCATATAGGGATATGTGAGATTCCATCTAGGGTCTACCCTAACAATCCAGGATAATTACCCCACCTCAAGCTCCTTAATCCAATCATATCTGCAAACAACCTTTTTTCTTATATAAAGTAATAGTCACAGGTTCTAGAGATTAGGACATGGATAACTTTTGGGAGAAAGTTTTTCAACTTAATATAGTGATCAGAGAGGAGAGCCACAAACCCAAAAAAACTAGAAAAGTATCTGAAAACCCAATGCCACTGATTTTCTGAGTTAAGCAACCCTGGATATACCTATCTCTAGACTTATGCAAAATAATTTATTTCTAAAGCTGTATTTGGTCCAGGTATTTTATTATTTGGACTTAAAAGTACTCAACTGGGAAAACCATTTGAGACAACTTCTTGGAGAGTTCTTAAAATATCTAGCATAGGAAAGAGAATGAGGTTGCATTTTTTAAGTGTATGTGTGTGTGTTTTAATCATCATGTAAACTGGTAAGAGTTAAGAGGGGTTTCCCAACCTTGGCACCACTGACATTTAGGGCCAGATAGTAATTATTATTATTTTTTCTGTGTGGAGGGTTGTCCTCTGCATCGTAAGATGTTTAGAAGCATCCTTGGCTTCTATACATATGAGATTCTGGTAGCAACCCCCAACCCATTTGTGACAACCAAAATACCTCCATACATTCCCAAATATACCCTGTGTGGTATAATTCCTCCCAGTTGAGAACAATTAGGCTAAGGCTATCATTAAGGATATTTAATATAAATATGACTTTATATTGTAGTAAGAGATACCTGACATCAATATATTCAGGTTTTATTTGTTTGGAGAATGTAACTTCTAATCTTATGTCCTTTGTTAAGGGACTAAGGTAGGTTTTTGTAGACAATATACCTGGACTATGAATGCCACAAAGATAGCCACCCATGGGTATAGATAAGTGGAGTGTATTCAGGTATATGCAATTAAAAGTAACTGCATCTAGTTATATAAAACATAGTTGCTTAAGTGATTTATTACTTGATCTAGTGTTATCTGTGTCTCACATATACTTGGAAGATGGAGAAGGTGTTCCCAGACCAAACTGAGTGTTGGGCTCTATTTCTTGTGGTCCAATAATGAACTGGGGAGGAAGAGATTTTTTATTTCTGTAACCAGTTACAGGGAGAAGACATGGAAAATATCACCAGACCAACTCAAAATGACAAAGTCTTCCAGAGCTTTATGTACCTTCTAAGCTATATGTCTATGTGTAAGTGTGCATTCATCTAAAGACATAACTGATTAACTTCTTTTAATCTGTAACTAATGTCTGAGTCCTGAAGACCTTCTTCTGGAGCCTCAGTGAGTTTACTTAATCTAAATGGGTCCAGGTGCTGGGATGATTGCCCTTATCTTGTCTCCTACTAAATCTTGGAGGTTTGGTGAGTTCCTTCAGACCCTCAATAAACTTGTTTGCAGAGGCCTGGGGAGTTTCTTCAGGCCCCCAATAAAACTTATTTAATCCTAAACAGGTCCTTTTAAGAATTCCTTCATTATTTTGTCATGCTTTAAGGCCCAGGAAATGCCTAGGCAAAACTCTTGGTGGGCTTTTGTTACATTCCAGCCTTTGTATAAAGGTACTGGCTCTTTCGGCTTTTAATATTTAACTTAACCACTTAGTCAGTGCTGAAACAGTTGTTATGGAGGCCTGTGTTAGTGAAATCTGGCCTGCCACAAAAGTACCTAAGGACAATTATATTCATATGATACTCTTTCAGACTTTTACTCCAAGGCTCCCAAGTCCTCTGGCTGAGACGATAAAGATTCTTCTGATTGTGGAATGAAGTCCATATTAAATATTTACGTATCTGTGCTTGTGCTGCTTTGGTGACATATGTGGGCTTCATCATCTACATGTAGCCCACCTAACTCCATCTTTACACATCTGTGTACCCATCTCTGGAGTTTTGTTCATGTTTACTTTGAACTGTTTTTCTGTGTTACTGAATTCCCTGCATCCTTCAGGAACAAACTTATATCCATGTTCACCATAAAATGTCTCCTGATAACTCCAGCCAATACTACAATCCACAACTACTCCCAATATTTTCTGCTTGGCATTTGCAGTACTTCTTGACTTCAATGAAATATTTGAGATTTACCTGTATCTTCAGTTTTTCCTTCATTATTTCATGTGGCCTAGCCTTGTTTCCTTAGACAAAGCACCAGCTTTTTGAGGAGAGGACTGACTGTCTTTGCTATAAAAATCTGTAACCCTCACCCCTAAACAACCCAGACTTAAGAGTGCTGAGTTTCATATATGAGATCATGAAGTATTTGTCTTTCTATGTCTAGACTTCTTTCACTTAGCAGAATGTCCTCAAGGTTTATCCATGTTATCACAAATGACTGTATTTCCTTTTTTTAAAAGGCTGATTAGTATTCCATTGTGTGTATATACCACGTTTTCTGTATCCATTCATTCATTGATGGGCACTTTGGTTGTTTCCATATCTTGGCTACTGGGAATAATGCTTCAATGAACAGGGGAGTGCAGATATCTCTTTGACATCCTAATTTCATTCCTTTTGGATATGTACCCAGAAGTCGAATTGATGGATCATATGGTAGTCAAAGGATATAACATTTCAGTTATGGAGGAGGATTAAGTTTAGGATGTCTGCTATAAAACATGATTATAGTTAATGGTATTGTATTCTTGAAAATTTCTAGGAATAGATTTTAAATATTATCACTAAAAAAATGCATATGAGGTAATAAATGTGTTATTTAGCTTGATTTAGTCACTTCTCAATGTATGCATACATCAAAAGGTTATGTTTATACTATAAACATATGATTTTTGAAAATTAAAAAAAAATTAATTTAAAAAAAGAGTGCTGTTGAACTTCAGACAAAGTACTTGTTGAACTGATTTGAATAAAAAATATCTTAGCAGTCTGGATGTTTACTCCACCCAGAAAAGGCTGCCTTCCTAGGGACTTTCAGTGTGACTCCCAGCCGAGAGTCCTGTTGGAAGTAAGCTGGGATGTAGTGGTTTTATGACAATCTAGGACAATGCTTAGTTTGTAGTGCTGGCAAAGAGTTTGACATATAAATATTGCATGGCACATAAAGAACAATCTGAGGCCAGATATGGTGGATCACACCTATAATCTCAGCACTTTGGAAGGCCAAGATGAAAGAATCACTTGAGCACTGGGGTTTGAGACCAGCCTGGGCAACATAGTGAGACCTGGTAAAAAAAAAAATTACACAGGCATGGTGATGTGTGCCTGTAGTTCCAGCTACTTGGGAGGGCCTGGGAGGTGGATCCTGCAGTGATCCATGATTATGCCACTGCACTCCAGCCTGGGTAACACAGCAAGACCCTACTCAAAAAAGGAATATGATTTGCTAAGCCCTGTGCGCGTCCAAAGAAATTGACTAGAATCATCTGCAGTCGTGTCTACTCTAGAGGCAACAGTTGAGAAAAGTAGCTCAGAATTTCCTTCAAAAGATGATTTCCTTCAAAGAAGACTCCAAGAAAAGGAGATTTAAATGTCATGAGCAGGCCTTGTTATATTAAGGAGGGCACACTTTCATAAAGAGAATATGTGGTCATTGTGAAACTCAGGGCCATTGCTTCTCCATGAGCTCTTAGCAATATTAAATAGAATTTCCATGTTTTATTCACTCTAAGATATATTTAAGAAGTGTTTTCACATTTGTGAACTGAGAGTACATCTTGTAATCATCATAGGCCAGTGATACTGGAATATAGTGATCATTTTTGAGCATGGACATTAAAACTTGCAGAATGGTTCTTGGAGGCCTGAAAGAAAATTCTAGAGACATTAGTTTATCAGTTTTTTTTTTTAAAGTTGCATCACCATTAATGATGAACTGAAGCATGGTATGGAGCGGAAAAGGACAGGTATCATAAGGAGTCATGAAGTGATAAGTGTCATATGCAGAATAGGAAGTGATGAGATTAGCTTATTTTTTTTAATGGGTGAACTATGAGTGACATATGGAAACTAAGTCTAAGTGAATTTAAAAGAGCTCCTGTAAGCTTAAAGTTCTACTCCTAGGTAATAGGAAAGCATGGGCCATATTTTTTTATTGGCAGAATCATTTCTTAGTGATATACCCAGTAATGATATATCTAACATAAATGTTTTCTTAGACTCATTGAAATCGGCATCAAGGGGGTTTTAATGACATGAAGAATGAGTCAAATAAAATTATTCTTATACAACAAAAAAGTAAATAAAATGCAGGCACAGAATCTAAGAACTGGAAAATAATGTGAGTTCTAGTCTCCTTAGTTACTATTTAGCCACAATGTTCACCCTTTCAGGCAATTTTTTTCTCCTTGCTTAAGATGTTTATATTTTAATGACTTTTGATAATTGGGATCCCATTGCTATCTTTAATAAAAAGGAAAGGACTAATATTGGGGGCGTTTTATGTTTAGCATACTGAGGTGCCATGAATCAGTTCATATTGGAAAAAGCTTTTATCCCCCTAGCCATGTGGATGGCAAGGTTTTTATAGGGCCTGGAGTGTCCAGAGAACCCTGGCAGGCTTCTTCTAGCCTTTAGGAGCCTCTATTTTTATTCCTGTGTGGTACAAAAATTATCCTTTGCTGGGTATGTCCCAACCTGGAAAAGGTTGTGAGCACTGCTCTAATAGATTGCCGGTGGCGTCTCTGAAAAAATATGGAATAGACAAAGTTAAAGACCCCATTGCCTCCAAGACCCTGTCATGATTTGCACAGATTATGTCCAGAAGTTTTTGTGCGAGAGTGACTACTGCACTTGCCTAGAGATATTTCTTTCTGCATTTGCAATCCCAGTCAAGCTTGATCAGAACTTACAGTTGTCTTCTTAACAGGTTGGAAAGAGGAACTTCGGCTCTAAAGTAAAGAGTTAAAACATGAAAACAGGCATCAATTCTACAAAAGTGATTTTTTTAAAATGTGGTCTCCGGACCAGCAGCATCAGCATTGTTGGAAATGTTAGAGAGGAAATCTTAGGCCCCAACCTGGACTTATCAAATCAGAAACTGTGGGGTGGGTCTGATGTATCTAGCCTTTAACAAACCTTTCAGATGATTCTGATGCTTGCTTAGGTTCAGGAGCCACAGATTTACAGTGTCCAGAAGACAAAAGGTAACAAAAAAGAATATTTGATCTCTTGTCCAATAGACACTGGAATATGGTCCCTGGGATTGGGGTTATATTTCTCCTGTTGTCTTCTCTTATGCCTTTTGCAAATTATTTAGCTTTGCTAGGCCTCAATTTCTTCCAGTATAAAATGAAGGCAATCAATTAGATATTCTTTATTCCTTGTATGGTTTTTTTAATTGCCCTTCTATGTTTAAATTGCATCATGTGCTGTGTAGCATCTTTTAGTAGAGCATGGAGGCGGGGGAGTACAAGTGGGGGATGCAGCTTCTTCAGGATTCTTTAACCATGCTGAGAAGTGGTGGTGGGGAGGAACTTCTTTCTATCCTGGTAAAGCAGGAATTGCAGGGCTTTTCCTGCCTGATGAGTAAGAGATTGCTGTGAAAAGAATGAGAGTTAAAGATGTTTTTATTCTCTGGGTTCTAATCCTGGCCTTAATATTAACTCTCTCTGTGATATCACATCAGTCTTAACTCTCTGGATCTAAATTCTTCTGTAATGTAAGAAATCAAATAGGAAAACAGTTTTATGTGTCTAGTACAATGATCAGTAGAGAGCAAGTGTCCAATAAATGCTCCGTTTTTTTTCCATCTCAAATATTCTGTTCTTTGCAATTTGCCGGTATTAAAAATGCTTTGCTGGGCGGGCATGGTGGCTCACGTCTGTAATCCCAGCACTTTGGGGTCCGAGACGGGTGGATCACCTGAGATCAGGAGTCGAGACCAGCCTGGCAATTATGGTGAAACCCCATCTCCACTAAAAATACAAAAATTACCCGGGTATGGTGGTACACACTTGTAATCCCAGCAACTCGGGAGACTGAAGTAGGGGGATTGCTTGAACCTGGAAGGCAGAGGTTGCAGTGAGCCAAGATTGCACTGCTGCACTCCAGCCTGGGCGACACAGTGAGACCCTGTTTCAAAGAAAAAAAAAAATGCTTTGCCAACATTGATTTCGTTCCCACATTATTATGTAGGTTCCCAAGACCATCTCTGGAAGGGAAGTATTTGCTGACAGCCTGTTACTGTTCTTGCCAGGTCACATAACCAGTTATCCTTATCCTGTGAAGCCTAACTACCTGCTTTCAAACCAATATTTGAGAGTTCTAAGTACCTTTTAGGATTTGTTGCTTATGTGTACCCGCAGTTTCAGGGTATCCTGTAACTCCAAGTTTCCTCTCCAAAGCTGCTGGCCAAATTACATAGCTCACCCTTGTTTAAATTGGTGGGGGTGGGGGCAACATGAATCTGAGTATATCAATAACATGTCTTAGTTTAATTAAAAATGACCTACCAAAGAATGAATAGAAGAAACTTAATGTTTATGTATTTTATTTATTCTTGCTATTGTTCAATAGAACCTCATCATTCTTGACACTAACAATGTACTAGACACTTTGTATCTTATTCGATTCTTAGAAGAGTCATGTGGGATGGATTGTATTGCCTCCATTTGAGTAACTTGCCCAAGTTCACTCAGTATGCGGCAAAACAAAAAGCGTTTTGAATCTAAGTATTTTTCTTTCCAGGGCCAATGCTTTTTTTTTTTTTTTTTACAGAAGCAAAGCTCTCCTAAAACTTATGTTTGCTGGGTAAATGACTTTAGTGTTTGCATAAGGGGTTCTCTGATTTTCAAAGTTGCTGAGATGGTGTTAAAATTCAAGTTTAATCAATCAACCAATTAGTATTTATTGAATACCTGCTGGGTGTAAGGATTGCACTTGGTGCTATGGGAAATAAACAACAACAACAAAGAATCAAGCTGATCCCCATGCAGGGAAGGAAGAGAAACACATGAAGACTGGCAGCTCACGAGGAGGCGGCTCCCTGGTAGCCAGGCTAGTCAGGAAATGTTTCGTGTTCATGATGGGATTTTCTTACTTTTCCTATTTTTTTTTTTTGAGACAGAGTCTAGTTTTGTCACCCAGACTGGAGTGCAGTGGGTGCAATCTCAGCTCACTGCAACCTCTGCCTCCTGGGTTCAAGGGATTCTCCTGCTTCCGCTTTCCTAGTAGTTGGAATTACAGGTGCCTGCCACCACAATTGGCTAATTTTTGTACTTTTAGTAGAGATGGGCTTTCACCATGTTGGTCAGGCTGGTCTTGAACTCTTGACCTCAAGTGATCCGCCTGCTTCAGCCTGCCAAAGTGCTGGGATTACAGGTGTGAGCCACTGCGCCTGGCCCATGATAGGATTTTTGTTCTTGGAATATCTATCAAGTCTTACTATGTTTCTGGTGTTACCTTATGTAACTTTTACAACTATTCCATCCTCATTTTACTGTTGAGTCAACCAAGATACAGAGGGGTGAAATGAACCTTCCTGATTTATACACTTGGCAAGAAGAAGGGATGAGAATCAGTCCTCAGGCTTTTGAATCCAAGTCTGATGCCCCTTCTATAACATTTATTGGAGTGATCTCTAAGAAAGGGTTGTTAACATTTAGTTTCCCTAAAGTAGGCCTGTAATCTTTTAAATGCCAAGAAACAGGAGTCTGAAGACCATGAGACTTTATTTGTTCACAGTTTTCCTGGGGAACACACAGTGTTTCTGAAGAAAAGACTTTAGTTCTTCCTTCTAATGAAAGCAGTTATGCTGGTATTTGTTCAGGTATGTGCTAGGGATTCAAACTCATAGATATTAAAAAGAGCCATTTAGAATTGTATACTGCTCTTCAGAGACCCTCCTGCCTACCCCCAACTACTTAAAGCAATAAACTGTCTCTCTGTGGGAGGGAAGTACAACCTTTTTGTGGTTCAGCTGCTGAAGCTGGGGGCTCCTTAGTCAGCAGTTGGTCTGAGCTGAGCTGGGCCAGCCTGGGACGGTGGGCTTCCCAGGGACCAGTGTCCTCAGGCAGCTTGTCCCTTGGGGAAAGCAGGACACTAACTTCTGCCTGGGAATTCACCAGGAAGACCAAGCAGAGGAGCAATGTTAGGCCATTTCAGAAAGTTCAGGCGGCTGCTAAGTAGCCTTCCCTGATGGTGCCCACAGCCTGGTAGGTGGCATCAGTATGTTACTCAGCTGCAGTTGTGACTTTGATGGGCATCACCCAGCATGCCTTTGATAGGGAGCAGCAAAACAAGACAGTGAAGACTTTCTTGCTTTGTGAAAAGCATGTCAGTGCAGCCCCAAAGAATGAGGCAAACTCGAAGGGAAGCGTGAACAAAACTGTTTGCTTAACGCGGAGGTGTCCAAGGAGAAATTTGAAGTACCTGCTTTTGTTTGGTTTTGTTTATAGAAAACTTTTAAAAATAACTCCTTTTAAAGCAGAAACCTCTTACTCCTAATATATTATCATAGAGTAATCTAAAGAAATGGTTGTGGTACTTCCTGATAAGAGATTAACATTTAACTTCCCTAGTAGGCATGAGAATGTTCCCAATTAAAAAACTCCAAATATAGTAAAATTTCCTTTCAAGTTCAGATCAGAAAACTGAAATCCTACAACTCCTAGCACAAAGATGTGTATATAATAAACACTCAAAAACATTTATTGCTAAATTAATCTTATTTATTCCATCTTGAAGGCTTTTATCAGAATCCTAATCTTCCTCTACATCCTCATAATGTTTCTATTACATTTAGCCTGGTGTTCAATTTTACTGAATTCTGATTCACAGAGAACTATTAATCCATAGTGTAATTCAATTAATAATAATAATATTCACCAGAGTGCTTCATACCTGCAACATTATGGTTAAGTGGACATAATGCAACCTACGTAATTTACAAATACGAATACTCCAAAATGGGTTAAGCTAAAAACCAGCTTTCCCTGTGTGTTACCTGGATAATGCAAAGCTCTGTTGACTATTCTCATTGTAAAATATATACGGATTGCTACTCCCTACCTTTTTGGTTCTGCCCTGCTTTGTTAGCTTAGTTATCATAAACATTTCTCCACTCGTACCCCAAAGCTATTTGGGAATAGTATATAAAAATATTGGATGTGAACTTCGATTTCTTTTGTTTAAATCATCTTAAGGGTGGAGATATGAAAGACCGAAAGAAGGTAAGCAAGTAAGAAATAATTCAAGTAATGAAACTTTGGATCCTGACAGAACCCCAGTAATTATCAAAACTAGGTGACTCTCTTGTGTATAGATGTGGAATCTCTGAGGCCAGTGAATGTCAGTAGCTTGTTCAAGCTCACCCAGTCAGTGGCAGGTATGTGGTGACCACCTGGGACATCTCAAGGTCATCACTTCAGTGCTTTACCACCAGACAACACTTGGCAGCTAGTTTCCCAGATGTCGACTTGTACTGCACTTGCCTTTGGAGCAGCAGTTGTTGCTTTCTTCTCCCTAGGAGACCAAGAGATGAACTAGATGGTTAGTCAAGTCTTTTTCCAGCACAGTGTGCTGAGTCCAGCTGGAAAATCTTGGAGGAGCCTCGTTTTCCTCACCGGTAAATGAGCAGTGCTTCATATGCAAGCATGCACCACAAGTTCGTAAGAGAAATAGAACCAATGGGAAATTTCAATCAAAGCAGATTACTTCCAGGTTTTCATTACTTGAGCAACACTTGAGTATTGTTTCAGCATTCATCCTTATAGGCACCAAGCAAGAACGTGACTGTCTTCCCAGTTAGCATCCTCCTCTTTGCCATGTACTGTGACTCTGTTTTGACTTAGGACCTTGTCTCTTATTTTCTTATTGGAGTGTTCTTTTACCTTCTCCCAGTTGGAGTAATTTGTATCTCCACTTGGATATGAGCAGCATCTTATCATATGCTCTCAAGTTTTTCTTAGTGCTCTGGCATTTTCTTGAAGAAAAAAAAAAATCAAAAAGAAAAACCCTGCCAACATTCAGGGAAATGGTAAAAAAATGCTCCTAGCAAGGCATTGTCTCTCTTGTTCACAACTATTTCTGTTTCTTTCTTCCACATTCACTATCCAACCTACTCAATATGGCTTGTACTCCTTATAAGCCAACTCACCCACAGTTTCCACTTGCCCTTATATGTTGGCATGAAATTCTTTCTCTAACCCAGTTTTTTTTTTTTTTCACAGAGCAATAAACACTTTTATTACATGGGCAAAGACAGAAAGGATGAGGATGTGTTTGCTTTTCCAGGCCTTGATTTTCCTAAGACAGAACTCCATCTCCTTGCCCTCTAGCACATAGCCATCTGCTTGGCCACACTGTCCCACCCTTGATGTGATGCATGCAAGAAGCCTTCCTTGCTGGAACTGCTCCTCCAGGAGACTGCTGATTTTGGCATTCTGTTTCCTTTTATCGTATTTCTTGTGAATTTTTTTAGGTCGCTTTTTGTTTAAAATCTCCTCCTCCTCAGCAGTCAGCTTGGTCCCCTTCTTGCGGCCCAGGGGCAGCGCATAGTGGGACTGGTACCACTGTTGGTATGGTGCGCTGTTGATGAGCATGATGCATTTCTTCACCAGGGTCTTGGTACGGACCAGCTCGTTATTGAATGCATTGTAGACAACATCGATGATCACTGTTGTGCAAGTACAACACTCTGAGCCCCAGGAGAAATTCCCCTTGTCCAGCCTCAGGGCACAGTATTTCTCATTTCTTCCCTGCACATGGACTGTGTGGATGCGGCAGGGCTAATCTTGGTGTTGGCAACCAGCCGGGCACCCCAGCTCATACTTTCGCTTCTTGTGGTAGGGCTTTCTCTTGCCCCCAGTCTTGCAGCGCTTGTGCTAGTTGTCCCAAGGATGCTCATCGCTGTTTAAAATTTATTTATTTCTTTATTATTTACTTATTTTTCCATAGATTATTGGAGTGCAGGTGGTGTTCGGTTATGTAAGTTCTTTAGTGGTAATTTGTGAGATTTTAATGCACCCATCATCTAAGCAGCATATACTGCACCCTATTTGTAGTCTTTTATCCCTTGCCCCCTCCCACGCTTACCCCCAACTCCCCAAAGAATTGTATCATTCTTATGCCTTTGCATCCTTATAGCTTAACTTCCACATATCAGTGAGAACATACAATGTCTAGTTTTCCATTCCTGAGTTACTTCACTTAGAATAATAGTCGCCAATTTCATCCAGGTCGCTGTGAATGCCATTAATTTGTTCCTTTTTTATGGCTGAGTAGTATTCCATCGTTTATATATACCACAGTTTCTTTATCTACTTATTGATTGGTGGGTATTTGGGTTGGTTCCACAATTTTACAATTGAAAATTGTGCTGCAATGAACATATATGTGCAAGTATCTTTTTCTTATAATGACTTCTTTTCCCCTGGGTAGATACCCAGTAGTGGGATTGTTGGATCAAATGATAGTTCTACTTTCAGCTCTTTGAGGAATCTCCACACTATTTTCCATAGCGGCTGTACTAGCTCACATTCCCACCAGCAGTGTAGAAGTGTTCCCTGATCACTGCATCCATGCCAACATCTACTGTTTTTTTATTTTTTTGATTATGGCCACTCATGCAGGAGTAAGGTGGTATTGCATTCTGGTTTTGGTTTGCATTTTTCTGATCATTAGTGATGTTGAGCATTTTTTTCATGTTTGTTGTTTATTTGTATATCTTCTTTTGAGAATTGTCTATCCATGTCCTTAGCCCACTGTTTGATGGGATTGTTTGTTTTTTTCTTGCTGATTTGTTCGTGTTCATTGTAGATTCTGGATATTAGTCCTTTGTCAGATGTATAGATTGTGAAGATTTTCTCCCACTCTTTGGATTGTATGTTTGCTCTGCTGAGCATTCCTTTTGCCATGCAAAAGCTCTTTAGTTTAATTAAGTCCCAGCTATTTATCTTTGTTTTTATTGCACTTGCTTTTGGGTTCTTGGTCATAAAATCCTTACCTATGCCAATGTCTAGAAGGGGTTTTCCAATGTTATCTTCTAGAATTTTTATAGTTTTAGTTCTTAGATTTAAGTCCTTAATCCATCCTGAGTTGATTTTTGTATAAGGTGAGAGATGAGGATCCAGTTTCATTCTCTTACATGTGGCTAGCCAATAATTCCAGCACCATTTGTTGAAAAGGGTGTGCTTTTTCCACTTTAAGTTTTTGTTTGTTTTGTCAAAGATCAGTTGGCTGTAAGTTTTTGGGTTTATTTCTGGGTTTTCTATTCTGTTCCATTGGTCTATGCACCTATTTTTATGCCAGTACCATACTGTTTTGGTGAGTATGGCCTTATGGTATAGTTTGCAGCCAGATAGTGTGATGCCTCCAGATTTGTTCTTTTTGCTTAGGTTTGCTTTGGCTATGTGGGCTTTTTTTTGGTTCCATATGAATTTTGGAATTGTTTTTTCTAATTCTGTGAAGGACGATGGGGGTATTTTGATGGGGATTGCATTGAATTTGTAGATTGCTTTTGGTAGTATGGTCATTTTCACAATATTGATTATACCCATCCATGAGCATGAGATGTATTTCCATTTTTTGTGTTCTCTGTGATTTCTTTCAGCAGCCTTTTGTAGTTCTCCTTCTCGAGGTCTTTCACCTCCTTGGTTAGGTACATTCCTAAGTATTTGTGTGTGTGTGTATGTGTGTGTGTGTGTGTATGTGTGTGTGCAGCTACTGTAAAAGTGGTTGAGTTCTTAATTCTCCACTTGGTCGCTGTTAGTGTATAGGGGAGCTACTGATTTGTGTACATTAAACTTGTATCCAGAAACTTTGCTGAATTATTTTATCAGTTCTAGGAGCTTTCTGGAGGAGTCTTTAAGGTTTTTGAGGTAAACAATCATATCGTCAGCAAACAGTGACAGTTTACCTTCCTCTTTACCAATTTGTATGCCTTTTATTTCTTTCTCTTGTCTGATTGCTCTGGCTAGGACTTCCAGTACTATGTTGAAGAGGAGTGGAGAGAGTGGGTATCCTTGTCTTGTTCCAGTTCCTAAAGGGAATGCTTTTAACTTTTCCCCATTCAGTATCATGTTGGCTGTGGGTTTGTCATAGATGACTTTTATAACATTGAGTTGTATCCCTTATATGCCAATTTTGTTGAGTTTTAATCATAAAGGGTGCTGGATTTTGTCGTATGCTTTTTCTGCATCTATTGAAATAATCGTGATTTTGTTTTAATTCTGTTTATGTGGTGTATCACATTTATTGACTTCCATATTTTAAACCACCCCTGCATCCCTAGGTATGAAACCCACTTGACCATGATGAATTATCTTATTGACATGTTGTTGGATTTGGTTAGCTAGTATTTTGTTAAGGATTTTAGCATCCATGTTTATCAGGGATATCTGTCTGTAGTTTTCATTTTTGATTATGTCCTTTCCTGGTTTTGGTATTACGGTGATGCTGGCTTCATAGAATAAATTAGGGAGGGTTCCCTCTTTCTCTATCTTGTGAAATAGTGTCAATAGGATGGGTAACAATTCTTCTTTGAATATCTGGTAGAATTGTTATCTATCTTCTGTATCTAGCTGCCCAGCAAGTCTACCAAGCTCAGGGCTGGTACAGGGGGTTGTCTACACAGATTCCTATGACGTGAACCATCTATGGATCTCTCAGCTGTGGATACCAGCACAGTATTTGGGGTGTCTCCCGGGTCCTGCAGGAGCAGTCTGCTTTCTTCAGAGGGTCTGTGGGTCCTCTTGGGATTCCTGATTCATTCCTGCAGTCGTTCTGGAGCTAAAATTTGTGATGCAAGCCTCCGCACACTGCTCTCTCTGTCTGAGTTGGCGCTGCAATCTAGTCCTGTCTCTGGTCTGCCATGATGATCTCTTCTTTTTCTCTAACCCAGTATTTTTAACTGAAGTCCTGATCATAGCTACCTGTCTACCAGAAATCTCCACCTGTATCAAACTCAGAGTCTGAAAAACAAATTCCTTATATCTCCAATCCCTACTTGTCTTTTATTGGGTATCTATGAAGTTACCCAAGCCAGACACACAGCTTTCATCATCTCAGTCTTTTGCTATCCCCTATTGACTCTATCTTCCAAATAATACTGCAATAAATCTCTCCCTTCCTCTACTTGTTTTGACTGCCTTTGCTCATCTTTTGTTTTCTGGTGTTGCGTAATCGTATCCTAACTGCTCTCCTGGCTTCTAGTGTTGCCCCTGAAGTTCATCTTTCATACTGCTTAAAGTGTGAACATTCCTAAGGTACAAATGTCATTCCTCCCTCCTCATGTTTATAATTCTTCAGTGGTTTTCATCAATTTTTTTTTTTTTACTAAGTCAAAGTTTCTGCCTATGATGAGTCTCTTTCATATCTCTCTACAATGTGTCTTGGTTATAAGGGTTGACATTGCCTGGAAATTCAGAGGTGTATTGACAGATGTTTGGTCAGAGGGTTGGTCTGAATCCACTGTTAGAAATATAAAGCCCTTGATAAGCATTCCCTGTCCCTCTGTCATAGGCTGCCCTCTGAAATATGCTAAGCAGGATTAAGTTTGTAGACCTGTAAACAGGGACAGAATGCCATCAGGTGATTTTAAATGCCATCTGGGCTTTTTATGCCTGGCTTTACTACAACCTGTTTGAAGAAGTTATTTCTGAATAAATGGTGATGTTCTTTTGTTTTGTCTTGTTTTGTTTTTGTAGTCTACCTGAAGACTTTGACTTTAATATTTTGGCTACTCAGAGGATCAGTCCTGCCCCTCTATTTTTAGCAACCTCACACTCTGCCCATACATTACGTGCTTTTAATGATGAAAGCAGCATTCAAAGCTTACATAAAATAAGCAATTAGTAAATGCATTAGTAGTATAGTATTTATAAACAACTTATATTATTGGCTTTACTGAAATTTCTCCAGGGGCTTCTCACTAGAGCATGCACTGTGAACAGGATCAAAGGGACCTTTCCTGTCTGCTGATAGCTTCTTTCTCACTCTGTCCTTTTTTTTTTTTTTTTTTTTTTTTGAGACAGACTCTCGCTCTGTCGCCCAGGCTGGAGTGCAGTGGCATGATCTCTGCTCACTGCAAGCTCCATCTCCTGGGTTCACGCCATTCTCTTACCTCAGCCTCCCGAGTAGCTGGGACTACAGGCGCCCGCCACCATGCCCAGCTAATTTTTTGTATTTTTTTGTAGAGATGGGGTTTCACCATGTTAGCCAGGATGGTCTTGATCTCCTGACCTCGTGACCTGCCCGCCTCAGCCTTCCAAAGTGCTGGGATTACAGGCGTGAGCCACGGCGCCCAGCTTGTCCATTTATTTTTTAAAGTCAGGTTTACTGAGGTATAATTTGTATACTGTATAGTAAAATTCACCTTTTTGGGCTTTATGAATCTTGAATTATGCATACAGTTGTATAACTACCTGTCATAATGAAGATATAGAACACTTCCATTACTCAGAAAAGTTCCCTCATGCCTCTTTGCAGTCAATTCGATTGGTGCCCACACGCTGAGCCCTTGACAACCACAAATCTTTGTCTGTCCTTGTGGTATTACCTTTTCTCTAAGATAATAAACATGGGATAATTCAGTATGCAACCTTTTGATTTTGGCTATTTTCATTTAGCATAATTCACTTAAGAACTATTTATGTTTTATGTGTGTTAGTAGTTCATCCTTTTTTTATTGCTGACTAGTGTTTCATTGTGTGCATTTTATACTTCATTGCTTTATGTATGCATATACCACAGTGTGCTTATCCATTTCCTAGCTGATACACCCATGGTGTGGTGGACAGACTCTAAGGTGACTCCTGTAATTCCTGCCTCCTGGTGTTTATGTATTTGATTCATCTTCCCCTCATAAGTGTGGATGGGATCTATGATTTGTTTCTAACCAATAGAATATAGCAAAGGTAATGCTACTCTCATGATTACGTTACCTTATATGAGACTGTTTTACCAGCAGACTCATTTTACACACTCTTTGCTGTGCAGATAAAGTAGAGGAAGTCCATTTGGTAAAGAGCTAAGGGTGGTCTCTAGAAGCTAAAGGCAGTCTTCAGCTAACAGGCAGAGAAAAACTAGTATCCTCAGTCATACAGAAGCAAGACAATAAATTCTGTCAACAGTCTAAGTAAGCCTGGAATCAAATTCTTCCCCAGTCAAGCCTCCAAATGAGATTGCAGCCTAGCTAACACTTTGAGAACTGAAGCAGCTAAGCCATGACCAGACTTTAGATAATACATGTGCATTTTTTAAAGCCATGATATTTGTGTTAACTTGTTGTACAGCAATAGACAACGAATACATTCTGGTAGTTTGCAGTTTTTAGTGATTAAAAATAAAGCTGCCATAAACATTTATATACAATAATAAGTAACAATAAGTATTGATCTGTATTTTTATTTCTTTTGGGTAAATACCTAAGAGTGCAGTTGCTGTATCATATGGTCAGTTTATGTTTAAGTGGATGCCAAACTGTTTTCCAAAGTGGCTGTTCCATTTTGTCTATTTTACATCCTCCTATCCCCCAGAAATGTATGCATATTCTAATTGTTTTATCACATCTATTGTACATTATTTTAACACTTGAGCTGGATGGATTCTGAGCTCCAGGGTTTTGTTGTTTTCTTTCTTTTCTTCATTTTTTTTTTTTTATTTGGAGTGCAGTGGCACAGTCATGGCTCACTGCAGCCTCGACCTCCTAGGCTCCGTCTTCCCACCTCAGCCTGCCGAATAGCTGGGGCCACAGGCATGTCACCACACCCAGCTATTTTTTATTTTTTGTAGAAACAGGGTCTACTTATGTTGCTCACGCTAGTCTTGATCTCCTGGGCTCAAGTGATCCTCTTGCTTTGACCTCACAAAATGTTGGAATTACAGGCATGAACCACCATGCCTGGCTTGTTTTGTTCTTTTGTATTTTCTATCTTCTGGGCCTGGTGTTTGACTCATGCTCATAGGCTGTTAAAAGTTGGGAATGAATAAATTCAATGAATTAATCTAAACACTTTACTTTTATAAGCACTCCAAGGGCCTTTTATCTTTTATCTTCAGGATGCAAGGGTCAGAGACACAGCACTTCTGACTTTTCTTTATGTCTCTATTCTCTATAGGAGTCACTTTTAAATGTGATTGCACATTGGAATCACCTGGAGAGCTTTTAGAAATTCGTGATGCTTAGTTTGCTACCTGTACCAATTAAATAAGAATCTACAGGGAGAAGACCCAGAAAAAGATTTTCTTGTTCTTTTAAAGTCACCTGGTTGGGGGGATTAAACAACACAGTCAGTGATGCCTGGGTCACACTCCTGTAAATGATGAGGCAATTGGTCTGGGTGTGGCCTGGGCAGCCAGGCTTTCCAAAGCTCGTCAGGAAATTCTAATGGGCAGCCAAGTTTTCGATCCGCAGCCCTAGTAGTGGCTTCATTATGTGGTTCACAGAACAGCTCTTTAGCAACGGGAAAATCTATGGCAGTAGCAGAGTCACACCTTCAAGGCTGCACTGGAAGCAGGTGGGGAAATCTGCAATTCAGATAATATGACCTTATTTTGCAGGCTGTGGAACATGGTACTAATTACACTTGTCTGATGCAAAAATGTCAGTTATACACCTGCCCTCAGTTTTTTCCTCCCACAGCCTGTATCATAACCCTGGTTATGGTTCTCAGGGATCCATAGGTTGGCAAATATGAAGTGGGCCCCAGATGCTAAAAGATGGGAGCTAGGAAGCTGTTGACAGAAGCACCCCACACCTTTCATCGCTCTCGTCCTTAGCTCTGACTTTGGTAAGGAAGGCGGCGACTCTACTGCTTGTTGCTGCCTCTGTTTTGACTTTAGGAATTAATGGTGTTTCTTTGCTTAACTTACAGCAATTAATAATGTTTACACTGGTGGGGAAAATTAATGCTGTTGCATTGTTAAGAAACACACAGTAAGGATAAAAAATATTTAGGTTAGTAATCCAGAATGTATCTTCTGATGAGTTTGACTTGCCCCCTTTTAGCTGATTTTATGCATGGTTGCTTCCCAAGACTGCTTAGTGGGCTAAAGCTGACAGAAACAAACCAAAAATTATGACCACATTACTAAGGCATGGCACAGCTGCAAAACAGACAGAATGTAATAGTGAAGCAAACCCATGGGGGAACTTTTTGCCCTGAGCATTCAGACTGGGCATCCCTCTGTAATTTGCCTCTTGAGCATCTTAGCATCAATTTCTTTGTACTTAAACCCACTCCTATGACTCAGCAACTGTGGTTTTATTACTTGGTTTCTCTGCAATTGTTGTTCTTTCTTGAATCAACCCAGGGTCTCTGATCTGTCTCTGATACTTCATTTTGCAACACCCAAAGGTCTTGTCGATGTTACTGTTGGGTAAACACTTATAAAACAATTTTATAAGAGAATCCGTTAACAACCCAGGATTTCTGTTGTAAACAGGTGGACTATATTCTTCTTGCCTATAACTTACTCTACTGCTTCTAACAGCCCACCCAAGTGATAGTCTTTTTGAAGTGGAGTTGCATCAATCAAATCCCAATGGCCTCATCAAACACACGTTTGCTTAACACTCATGCTCCCTGTTGGTTGGCTGGGGGCTCTGCTTTGATGTATCTGCCCCTACACCCAGGGAAATGGAGCAGCCACGGTCTATAATATTGTCAGTAGCAGTGGCAGAGGAAGAAAGTGCAGAAAATGATGGGCCAGCTCTGTTGTCACTTCGCACATTTCGCTGGCTAAAGCATGCCATAAGAGCATGCCTAATTCCAAGAGGGTAGAGACATGTAAACCTACCTATGCCCAAAAGGAGAAATGGAGATATTCAAGGAACACAGGTAATCCTCTATGGGGTATTATAATAGTTTACCAAGGAAAACACTAAGAATTACACATAAAAATGGCTATAAGGAGAAATATGCACATTTCTGAAGGCAGCACTCTAAAATGAGAGACCGTTAAAGATGACTTTGGGGTTAACTAGGTAAGTGTGTGTGTGTGACTTTGGGACTAGAGTCCTAAATACTTAGGGTCCATATTAGAAGTCTGTCTATATAATTAACACTCATTTAGAGTCAAACAAAAAGTAATACTGCTGGATGCCATCAAAAAGACAAGTTTAAAACCCTCGCATGATAGAAGAAGTAATTAGAGTCCTGAGAGGGGAAGGAGTTTTTTTCCCAGGGTCACACAGTGAGCAAGAGATAGAACTGAAAATATACCCTGGTTCTGATTCAGGGTCTAGTGGTCTTTGTGTTGTATAGTATTGTTTGTCTTAATCTATTGATTCCTAAGAAAGTTTGAAAAATCAGATTCTCTTTCCTGATAGCAGCTGTGGATTCAGAATAGGTGAACTTTGAACAGGTTTGCTTCCAAGTGTTCGGAATCTGCTCTTAGGCCGAAGATACTATGCAGCTCCTAATAGGATTTAGATTTCATTGCTTATGGCTCTTAAATACTAATTTATGGCACGGAACTTTTTCAAAGTTTTGGTTTAGTGGATTGGTTGGTTTTGATCAATATTGCAGTAATGCCTTGTAACAATATAGGTTCGGAGTATATTATATGCCAGCTTGTGGGGAAATTAATTATTTTTTTCAGGGGAAATGAATTTACCCCAATTCAAAGATAGGATTAGTCGGGCTTGGCAGGCTAAATTGAATCAGACAGTTATATAGCATCAGATGTTCCTGGCATTGACCTTTTTAATGAGAAATGGACCTATTAGATCTGTTTTACTCTGCTGTGAAATATTTTATGAATTTGAACAGAGCTTTCCATCATTTAGATACATATCAGGATCTGGGGATGGGTCAGGCTGAGACCATGTAAAATTAGCTTTTGCTGGCCTGGCCAGGTGGAATATGTTTAATTTGTTAACTTGCTGACCCTCTTTCTTTTCTAAGACAAAAGACTCAAAAGACCTGACACTAGTGAATATCTTTTATAAAGAGAAGAATAAAACCAAAGCAGTGTAGCAGAAGTTCTTTGGGAAAATCTCATGAAGTATACAGCCTCTCCTGCTAGGGGAGGACAAGGCATCTGGGTCTCTTGGCTTTCCCGTCACATCCACAACTCCTGTCCTTAAATGCAGCTTCGGGGCCCTGACAACTGGAGTTGACTAGTTAAGTGGATCTTAAGTTCCATCTTTAAAATCACCCAGCTGTTCTCTCTTCTCCAAAATAAAATCAACCCAGCTGGTGGGTGGGAGTTTCCCTGCTGTGACCCAGGAAGCTGAGGCCTAAAGACAGGTATGGATGGGAGAAGTGGAGGGGAAGAGGGGATCAGGGATGCGGAGGCAGGTGATGCATCTCCCAGAATCAACTTTCTCTTGGTCCACTGAAGCACTGGGGGGTCAGGCTGCCCATGGAGGGAGGGAGCTGAGTGGTTATGTGGAAAGGAGGCTTATTACTTGCTGTGCTCTGCAGACAGGTAGGAGTGGAGGGCCAAGGAACAATGAGATCATCGAATGTTAAAGCTGGAAGGGGGTCTTTGAAATTGAGTCTAATCATTTTAGACATGATAAAGCTGGAGTCCACAGGCTGACATGCTAGGCCCATGGTCACATAACTAGTGGAAGTCCACTTACGCTGACTCCAGTGAGAACTCTTTGTCCCATACCTCCTGAAGCAGCAGGGTACGGATAGATATGGCCTAGAGCCTGGTGTTAAATTCCTTTTGGTGTCATTGGGAAGACTGTATAAGAAACATAGTATAGTGTCTATAAGAACAAAAATTCATGTCTGCAATACCACTGAATATGCTGAATGCACCTGAGCATGTCATTTAAACTGTTTCTTTGGTGCCACTTCTGTAGGATATTTAATATTCACACACGGATGTAAGTAGTAAAGAATATAATTAAATATAAAAGTTTAATATTCAGTGAATGTATGCCCAAGGCCCTGGGGATGGGAGAGGGGGAAAAACTAGAATGTGCCCTGATCCTCTCTTCAATACAGCTGCCCACAGATCAGAGGCAGAACACCGATGTTCTACTGAGGCATTTACCCTCCCTCTAGACAGGATCCCTCCCTGGCCTCCCATACTTGGGATTTTTTATTTTAGATGTGGCCTCAACATATCCATTTGGAATACCCTCATCCTACCTTGACCCAAGACCTTGACAAAGAAATTTACTTTTCTAGGCTCTTTGAATAATCCAAGGCACCAGTGTAGCTCCACTAATATAGTCATCAGTGTCAGAAGGTGAGGGTGAGAGAAGAGATGGCTGCTATACCTTGTCCTCCCCTTTCCAAGGTGACAAGTGATTTAGCAGGTACCTTCGTGGTCTAAGCCAAATAGATAAATGACAGCAATGGATTACTATGTCTCGAGTACTCGAATGATCTCTGGAGGATTCCTGCACAGATTCAAATGGGCTCCCCTCTCTCTCTCCAAACATCATGCAGACTGGTCCAAGTTGTCCAGGAAACCTGGCTTTTATTACTCACTCTGCCACTACTATGTGATCTTGGAGGAGAACATACATCTCTGAATTCCATTTTCTCTATCTACAATGGAGACGCTTGTTCTGTATGTTTCACAAGATGGTTGTGAGGATGCAATGATGTAAAGCACGTGGAAGTGCTATGATAGAGAACAGCACATCTGAAGTATCTATCATGAATACTGGTGAGAGAATGTGGCTCACCCATGGGTTGACACAGATGTTGAATGATGGGAGTTAACAGAATAAGCCTTATTGTAAATTGGTAGTTATTTCCTCAGGGGCATTTCTAGGTGGGGAATGCCCTTAGAACCTGTAATGCAGGTGAGGGAAAGGACCAGAAAAGCAGGTTGAACAGTGTTAAGAATTCCTTTTCTTTTTCTCTCTGCTCCTCGTTCCCTCACTTCCCTCTTCTACTCACCCATTTCTACTTCTGTCATGGTTTTCCCCTTTCTCTCTCCCTCCAGAGGCTTTTTCAACGTCAGTTATTGCCTCTGTCAAGTTGCCCAGGAGGGCTGGCCTGTGAACCTCAGGTGATTGTCAGGTATTCCAAATGGATATGTTGAGGCTATATCTAAATAGAGAATCACCTGTGAGCCTCAGGTGATTGCCTGCTTGTCTAATGGTCTTGCCCACACACTTGCTAGGAGCGAGCTGCATACCATTGAGTGGGGGTCAGAACACAATTAACCTGCTGCCCCATGGTGAGGAGTCGAAACTCCTCTGTGTCTCATACAAACTGCCCTGTTCTGATCCTGGCAAACAAACTGGGGCCACCAGCCAGCTGTGCATTTGGAGAAGCAGTTGGCCCAAGTCTGCATTCATCTGGATCCTGTGCCTGTGCACATGTGCCAGAGAGTCCCTTTCTCATAGAGGGGCTTGACCTATTCAAGATTTCTCTGGCCAGAGAAACTTCTGACTAAAGTTACTAAAAAATGCCAAAGTCTAATAAAGGCTATTTTGGGGGACATTGCCAGTAACTCCCAGGCTGGGGCCACGTAGGTGGTGATGCAGGAAACTCTGAAGTTGAGGTTAGAGGAGTATGTTCCCCTGGCATTTGAAGAAGGGGTGTAGAAATGAGCCTTTCTTCATGGGAAGAAGCATCATGGCTGGTCATGGTGTTTTGATGAAGTACAGCTGCAAGGGCCTCTGGGGCACTGCGGGACCCCCACAGAGGAACTATTTTTGGATGTCTTCTCAGGAGGAGGGCAGAGCAGGGGAGCAGCTTTGATTCAGCTTCTGGCAGGCAAATTCTGGCTGTAGTCAGACAGGCCTCAGTTCTACAGGCTTTTTTTCCTCCCAAACTTAAAGAACTTCCAATTTGGTGCGGTTTTGCCATGGGATCCCATATTGAAACAAAACAAAAACAAAAACAAAACTGGAAAACAAGCAAACAGCAGCCAAACTCTGTATTTCAACCTAGGGTTATGAGACCGTTACTTTATTCTGTAATGCATTTGTTCTTTATCCATCACATATTTGAGTGCTAAGATGTATCAGGCATAGTATTATATAAATAAACCAGTACCTCTTGTCCTTGATCTCACAAAGAATATAGCACAGGGGGAAGCTCACATGTAGTCCAGGAGACATTCAAGTGAGAACCAACAAGTCAATACCTTGGGCAAAGGCTCTCTGATTTAAGAACAGGGGTCAGGTATAAGATGCACATTTGAAACACTGTATTCTGCTCAACTTTTATAACGTAAAGTACACCCTCCCCACCTCCTGCCAGGAGGATCACTGAATTTGCTTTAGTAAACAGATTACTTTTAACTAACTCATCACAGTATGGTGAAGATATACAGGAATAAAAATTTTTCAGTCTCGACAAGCCATCCTCACTTTTCTGAGCTCAAGGGGCGGGACTGAGGCGACTTGAAGGGAGATGCTTTCTGTTACAGAGCGCTGTGAGAGGGAGAGCAATGTGTCATTCCATCCCAGCCATGGCAAAGCAGGAGGCAAGTGTGTGGATGTGAGTTTGCACATCCAACAGAAAGCAGATGGTCCTGAGGTAGTCCTGTGGAAGGGTGCTCTGAGCTGGTTACAAACCTGACTCACAAAGAGTAAATCTGTCTGCTTACAAGGATGACTCTGCAGCTTCAGATCCCCCAGCCTCGGTGTTGGCCCAGGCAGAAGTGCCACTGAATCATCAATCACTCCAAAGAAGTCTGCTCTAGCCATCTGTCTAGGAGGGAGGTCTGGTCATATATCTTACTCTGAATTCTTGGGTACCCAGAAATATGAAGGCAAATCAAATCTTCCAACTTTTAGGAAATGGCCAGGTAAGATAAGGAAGCCACGAGAGCTGTTGAGGCAGTGGACATCAGCCACTCCCTACCATGTGAGGGACATCGACCACTCTCTATCATGTGAGGGAAGTTCTTTTCTCTCCCTTCTGCTCCTGCTCTATCCTGGGAGTAGCATCTCTGGATTCTGCATGGTACATTGGGAGATCCATGGAGAAAATCAGCTTCCCAGGTCCTGCTCTGTACAAGACTGAAGGGATATGATGCCCTGATAGTGTCCATCTTCCTATAGATTCTCAGATCCTCACATCTGCAAGTGGCTCTGACAGCAGGATGAAAGGCTCCTTACCATGTATTTCTTGGCCCAGAATTTCATGCAGTGAACTAAGACCCAAATGACCACCAGGGCAGCTTTACACCTGAAATATAGTCGCAGCGTAAGGAAGAGAGGGGAAACACTTGTCTTTCTCACTGAAGGGCAGAGAGAGGCTGATTATCAGTATATGCATGGGCTTCGTGTGGTTAAGCTTGCTGAGTAAAGAACTATCCATGCTGCCAGGTCCAGGGCCATCCCCCAGTTGGCTGAGTCCTGGAAATGAAGCTTTCTGATGGCTACAGACATCCCATCTGGACTCTGAAGCAATTTCAACAGCATCACTTATAAGTTATGCTTAACAGGATATGGCACAAAGGGATTTCTGCTAGTCAGAGCCCTGGCTGGAGTCAGGCACTATTGCCTGAGCCTGTGCCTCTCACTACACTTGATTCTGCAGAACTGTTACTCTGAGAAGTGACAGCAGGAACCCAAACAACTGCTCAGTGTGATCCCAAGTGTGGGAACTGGGAGCAGGAGATAGCTTTAAAGACCTATGAGCCAGCAATGGGACTTGTGCCATCCTGCTACCAAACTCCAACAGCAGCCAGCCTACCCTCAGTCTAGAATAAGCAGATACGAAAAATTCCTTTTGAACAAAGTGGTGAGGCATTGGTTACAGTCAACATCATTAGGCCCCACGTCTGTCTCACTTTGCTGTCCATGTTCAAAGGTACTCATCATTTCAACTCAAGGAAAATTTATATAGGACCAACTATGTCCTAAGAACTGCCTGAGTGAACAAGACATACCCTCTGAAAACAGGACCCTGTAGTCCATCTGTTTCCTGATTCTATTTTTTTTTTTTTTTTTTTTTGAGATGGAGTCTCACTGTCACCCAGGCTGGAGTGCAGTGGCATGATCTGAGCTGACTGCAACCTCCACCTCCCAGGTTCAAGTGATTCTCGTGCCTCTGCCTCCCTAGTAGCTGGGATTACAGGTGTGTGCCACCATGCCCAGCTAATTTTTTTGTTGTTGTTTTTGTTTTTGGTATTTTTAGTAGAGATGGGGTTTCACCATGTTGGACAGGCTGGTCTTGAACTCCTGACCTCTGGTTATCTGCCTGCCTCAGCCTCCCAAAGTGCTGGGATTACAGGCTTGAGCCACCATGGCTGGCTGATTCTATCTTTAAAAGGCCCCATTCTATGAGTAATCTCCATTCAGGAAAGGTGTTCATGGCAATTTTTTCACTGGGAAATCTAAGGTGGTCTTGGCACTGATAGAGGCTCTTTTATTCTCTTGCCCACTTCTTTCTGCCCAGCGTGTTTCCATGTTCTGTTTTCTTACTGCCTAACTGGAACTTTGACCTTAAAATTTGTCATGACTCTTAGTATTTATATCCTGATTCATGTTGGTTCACGTGTTTTCATTGTTGTTTTTGAAGTTTTACTTAGATCATTATTTCAAGTAATTATGTAAAAATACTTCTGACAGACAGGAATATGTAACAGGCACATGTTCTATTAAGTATTAACACTTATGTTCGCTTCACTTATTTTTTTAATAGATTAATCATTACAGAGTTGAAACTCTCTGTATCCACCTGAATTTTGAACTGCTTGCACTGAAAACTAACGTGTAATGTAATAGACAAACAGCAGGGTGCCCACGCCTCCCTCGTGGAAAGGGAGGCAAGAGGCCTTACTTAGTCTGGAGTTTCTGGATTCGGCTCTCAGGAAATTTCTCCCTTGTTCATTTTCCTTTAGTGGTCATGCTTTGAAGGGAACACAGAGTATGATTCTACTTTGTAATTTTAAGACAAAAGGATACATATCTAATAAACAATGTTTCATTTCAAACAAGATGATTCTAGAGATCAAAATTAGTCATTGAAGTAATTGGAAAGGTCAGTGCCTGGCCTTTTTTTTTTTTTTTTTGAGATGGAGTCTCGCTCTGTCGCCCAGGCTGGAGTATAGTGGCGCGATATCAGCTCACTGTAAACTCCGCCTCCTGGGTTCAAGCAATTCTCCTGCCTCAGCCTCCCGAGTAACTGAGACAACAGGTGTGCACAACCTTGCCCAGTGAATTTCTGTATTTTTAGCAGAGACGGGGTTTCTCTATGTTGGCTAGGCTGGTCTCAAACTCCTGACCTCAGGTGATCTATCTCCCTCAGCCTCGCAAAGTGCTGAGATTATAGGCATAAGCCACCGTACCTGTCTATGGCCTCTTTTAATTTTTAAAAAATATGTATCTGATTGAGTGCTATGTGCCAGTCATTGTTCTGAGTTCAACGTGCAATCTCTCATTTAATTACCACAATGTCTCTTTGAGGGAGGTATGGTATTAATGCCATTTTACAAATGAAGAAACTACAGAATACAGATGTTATTTGCCAAAGCCCCACATTTAGGAAGTGGTGGGCTAGGATTCAGTCCAGGCATTCTGCTGCCAACAGAGACTGTAACCATTAACCAGAACTGTGTGTCTTTGAATATACGCATCTGAGTCATTCTCCACACCCTGGTGTGATTTGATGGGTTCAGTGAAGGTCGCCTGCCCATATCTTTCTTTCTTCTGCAAGTGCCATCATGCTTCAAATCCCTCTGTATTTATGTTATAGGCCTCCATAACAAATTACTATAGTCTTATTGACTTAAAACTACAAATATGTATTCTTTCACAGTTCTGGAAGGTAGAAGTTCCAAATCAAGGTGCTGGTATGTCTATACTCCCTCTGAAGGCTCTAGTGAAGAATGATTCCTTGCCTTTTCCAGCTTCTGATGTCTCCAGGTGTAGCTTGGTTTGTGGCAGCATCACTCCAATTTCTGACCCTTTTCAGATGGCTCTATTCTGTCTCCTCTCACCTTCTTGTAAGGATACCAGTAATTGGATTTAAGGACAACTTATAATTCAGGATGAATTTATCTTGAGATCCTTAACTGATTACACCCGCAAATACCTTATTTACAAATATGGCCACTCTCTGAAGTTTCAAGTGGATGTGAATTTTGGAGCACACTATTCAACCCATGTATCCACCACTTAAGATTTATTCTTTAGGGTTCAGGATTAATTTTTCTAGACTCCTCTTTTAACAATCCAATGTACCTAGGGAAGACATTTTGTGCATGTGTTTTGGGGCTGTTTCCTGGAATAATGGCAACCTAGAAATCCCAAAAGAATGCTAAAAATGAAGATGAGACACAGAAAAGGCAGATGGGAGGAAGAAATAGCGCACAAATTTTAATTAATTTGTAGTTTGGAGAAGGGTATTACTGAATATATTCTACTGAGAAGCTTTCACAGAAGGGGATAGAAGCAGTTAACCACCCAGTGAAAAAATCTACCTTCCAGTTTGCTAACATGAGCTCTAAATTGCGTTCAGGCCTGCATAATTTTTTGAAACCGTATTCAGAAGTACATATTGTAAATCTCACTTGCAACAATAAAAACAATTTCTAATTGCATAGAAAGCAAATGGCACCAGCAAAGCATTTCATGATTGTGAAATCCAGTGCCCCCTCATTTTCTAGAACGTGTAAACTGTCTCTGTTACTTTTAAACCCAAAAATGTCAGTTTTGATGAATCCATCTGGCCCTCTCCATGAATATTTTTGTGGAGCATTTTAGGAAAAGAGCTGCTGGGTGACTAAGGATAGTATTGAACATGAGACTAAAACCATTTTCCACCAAAATCTCTGTGACTGTAGGCCAGCCTTTCATGTCTCATTGCCTCAGTCTTTCTGTGAGTCAGTTACCTCCCAGGGATCCTGTGAGTATTTCAGATACATATTTAGACAAAAGCAGGAAACCTCAATGCCAAGAGCATGTGGTGAGCTCTGTGTGTAATTGTGTGCCTCTAACTGCTATGTGAGTGGAGGTGGGATGTGTTACCATCTCTCTAAACAGGCGGGGCTTCATAAATCTCAAAGGAACAGGTCCTGTGTACAAAACAAACCCAGTGTTTTCATCCCCATGTCACAGAAGAAGAGCATCCATAGTAGCACCTAAAAATGTTAAACTTAAAAAGTACCACATTAAGTTTGCAAGTGTCATGAACTTCCCAATTGCAACATGAAAATGCACAGAGAGTGGAATGACTTGCTCAAAGTCAATGCTTTAGGATGTCATGTTACTAACTAAAACTGAAAGACTTGTGTTAAAATGTTTATTCAGCCAGCATCCAGTTAAGTGTTCTGCCTGCAAAATAAATCCAGAATCTAACCCACCTCCCACTGCCTCCACCACTACTGGCCTATTCTAGGCCATCATAAGCTTCTGTGCTTAGAGTCCTGCAATGGCTTTTCACCTCACCTAGAACAAAACCAAAGTCTATGGAGCAGTCTGCAATGTCCTATGCAATCTCATCTCCTCCCCTACCTTTTCCTGCCCTTTTCACTCTAGTCTAGCCATGCTTGCCTAATTTCCATTATTTGAAAGCACAAAAATGCTTTCTTCTCACAGCCTTTGTGCTTTCCATTCCCTCTGACTGTTGTACTCTTTTCTAGGCAGCCACGGGTCTTCCTTCACCGCTCTATATAAACTAGTACCTTCTACATCATTAATCTTCATCCTCTTACCCTAGGTCATTTTTATCAGTAGCATTTAGCCCCTCAGGACAGAATACATACTTTTTTTTTTTCAATGTCTGTCTCCACAAGAATGTAAGCTTCATGAAGCGAGTCTAGAACTTCTTTTCACCATCCTATCTCCAGTACCTAGAAAAGTGCCTATGATCTTGTGTCCGGAATTGGTGGGTTCTTGGTCTCACTGACTTCAAGAATGAAGCCACGGACCTTCGCAGTGAGTGTTACAGTTCTTAAAGACGGTGTGTTCGGAGTTTGTTCCTTCTGATGTTCACACACATTCGGAGTTTATTCCCTCTGGTGGGTTCGTGGTCTCGCTGGCTTCAGGAGTGAAGCTGCAGACATTTGTGGTGAGTGTTACAGCTCTTAAGGCAGTGCGTCTGGAGTTGTTCATTCCTTCTGTCTGGAGTTGTTCATTCCTCCTGGTGGGTTCGTGGTCTCACTGGCCTCAAGAGTGAAGCTGCAGACTTTTGCAGTGAGTGTTACAGCACATAAAGGCAGTGCAGACCCAAAGAGTGAGCAGCAGCAAGATTTATTGCAAAGAGCAAAAGAACAAAGCTTCCACACTATAGAAGGGGACTGTGGGTTGCCACTGCTGGCTCGCACAGCCTGCTTTTATTCCCTTATCTGGCCTCACCCACAACCTGCTGATTGGTTCATTTTACAGAGAGCTGATTGGTCCGTTTTGACAGGGTGCTGATTGGTGTGTTTACAATCCCTGAGCTGGACACAAAAGTTCTCCAAGTCCCCACTAGATTAGCTAGACACAGAGCACTGATTGGTGCATTTACAAACCTGGAGCTAGACACAGGGTGCTCATTGGTGCATTTACAAACCTTGAGCTAGACACAGAGTGCTGATTGGTGTGTTTACAATCCTTGAGCTAGACACAGAGTGCTGATTGGTGTATTTACAATCCCTTAGCTAGACATAAAGGTTTTCCAAGTCCCCACTAGACTCAGGAGCCCAGCTGGCTTCACCTAATGGATCCTGCACTGGGGCCACAGGCGGAGCTGCCCACCAGTCCAGTGCCGTGCACCCACACTCCTCAGCGCTTGGGCGGTTGGTGGGACCAGGCGCCGTGAAGCAGGGAGCAGCGCTCGTCGGGGAGGCTCAGGCAGTGCAGGAGCCCACAGAGTGGGGAGGAGGCTCGGGCATGGTGGGCTGTAGGTCAGGAGCCCTGCTCTGTGGGGAGGCAGCTGAGGCCCAGTGAGAATTCGAGCGTAGTGCCAGCAGGCTGGCACTGCTGGGTGACCCGGCACACCCTCCACAGCTTCTGGCCCAGGTGCTGAGCCCCTCACTGCCTGGGGCTGGTGGTGCCAGCCAGCTGGCTGCTCCGAGTGTGGGGCCCGCCGAGCCCATGCCCACCCGGAACTCGCGCTGGCCCGCGAGTGCCTCGCGCAGCCCTGGTTCCCGCCCGCGCCTCTCCCTCCACACCCCGCAAGCAGAGGGAGCTGGCTCCGGCCTCGGCCAGCCCAGAGAGGGGCTCCCATAGTGCAGCGGCGGGCTGAAGGGCTCCTCAAGTGTGGCCAGAGTGGGCGCCAAGGCCAAGGAGGCACTGAGACCGGGCGAGGGCTGCGAGGGCTGCCAGCACGCTGTCACCTCTCAATCTCATGGGAGGTTCATAACCATTAGCTAAATTAAGGACCCCATTTCTTGTATCTAATGGGAAATAATGCCTCTGCCTTGCTGTCCTCAGGGTTTTGTGGGAATCATATTATATCCTAGGAGGAAAAAATGCTGCGTAGACTATCAAGTACTATATGGAAATGTGAAGTATTGGTACCTTTAGCCTATGGTCTAGGGTGAATCCAGATTAGAGCTTTGCTTCAGATTCAAGACAGTGAGGTAGAATTCCCCTGTTTAACTTTGAAATACACTTTGTAATATAAGCTAATTTATAATATTAGAATCTGTGAATTTGAAAAGAGTTTGAAAATTATGTAGTCCAACAACTTATTTGATATTGAAATTTTCTTCACCACATTCCTGATATTCAGCCTCTGCTTAAATGCTTTAAGTGACTGGGAGGTCATTCTGCTCTTCTTCAAAGCAGCTCCTGGTGATGCACATTTTAGCTGTTAGAATATTCTTGTCTGTGATGAGCTGATACCTGTTTTCCTGTGACATCCACACAGTGGTTTTTATCCCCATTTGGAATCTATGTCAGAATGTATTCTGTTCCTTCAAAGCTCCTCTCTCAGCTGTCTTCATTGATTCCACTTTGCTTGGGACATACTCCACCCCTGCTCAGGGCAGTAGAAATCTGGGGATTGCTGCTGTCCAAATACACCAGACCATCTGACAAGAATGGCAATGATCATTTAAGCTACAATTCAGGAAAGAACATGTGCCAGCTGCTTCCCACCAGGGCTCCCATTAGTTTGTCATTTCCTTGTGTTACTTTACTGCTTCCATGACAGGGGCATGCCAGTTATCAAACATTTCCTCCAGGTCCCTGATTTTGTCTCTCCTCAAGTGTTCCCAGTTGCAAACACTTACTTACTTGCATACTACATTGCGCTGATGTCCTTTCAACCCTCCTCTCATTATCTGCCAGAAGAGAAATTGCTCACCTCTTGTCAAAGGATCCTGATCCTCCAGTGATTTTCTTGGCTTTATGCTAACTGGCTGTGTGACCTTGAACAAGTTATCTCTTCTTTCTGTGATTAGTTATTCTGTCAGGTTTTTCCAAAATCAAAAATTTTGAATTTAAGATTCTGTGTGATTCTCATTTTTAAAAATTAGAATTTAAAAACATACTTACCTTCAAAGCTTGTTAATAATTTAATTAAATAACAATTTGTCAGGTAACCATCAGGGCTATAGATGGTTCTAGATATCAATGGGGTATATAATAATTCTGGATCATTTTTCAAACCAGTTTATCTTCATAGAAAGATAATACATGTTTAAAACAGGGTAATTAATAAGTTTTGGAATTAAATTCTACTTAGATGAATCAAAAAGGGAAAATAAGTAGACAACTGTTGGTTGCTGTATTGGAGACTTGAATTTTATATTGCTGCTTATGGCTAGGCTTACTAGTGAAGGGCAGATAATTTAGAATTAGATAACCTGGTTCTAAAACTTGGCTCCTTTTCACTAGAGAGGTGAAAGGGGGACAAGTTTTTAACTTCTCTGTTTTTCAATTTCTTTATTTGAAGTTGGATTTATTAACAAAACTAACTTGTAGATTTCATGTGAGGATAAATGAAGTAATACCTACAGAGCCCTGGAAAAAGAGTCTGCTACACAGTAATTATTCATTAATTCACATCTTTCAGAGTCTGTGCTGTATTTCCATTGGTAGTCTCTTCTACTTGTTTTTCTAGTGTTTCTTACAATCCTTACTATCTCATTGTACTAAAATTTCAAGATACTTCAGCAAAGGGAAAGGTCAGCACTTATTTTGGAAGATTTGTGGTGAAGTTGATGAAGTCATAAGCTTGGGGATGGAGGTGTAAATTCCTATGATGATAGCTTAGGGTGGTATAAATAGGAAAACAAGCAAGTCCCAATAAAAGATACATGATTTATTTGTTGTTTCAATGTCTTTGCATTAAGCAGTAATAGCAGGAACCCCCTTTACATTTCAGGCAAGGGAATTGAGTTGGGTAAATAAGAGCATGACTCTTCAGTATGGAATCAAGGATTTTTTCCCCTTATTATTTAAAACATACTTCCAAAAATGTAAAGAAAATGCTTTTATATTAATACATATTATGCATGTTCCTGAGTATGATATCATGGTAATTTCTCTAAAGAAGAGAAAAGATAACCACAAAATTGAGACTTAGTCATGCCTAATGGTCTTCTCATTCATGGCACATACACTAGAAATGAAATATTCTCTTTGATGGTTATTGGTACTTCCTGTTTGAAGATTATACTGCCTTCAACCAGCTTTCAGTCTCTGTGTGTCTCCTAGGTAAGAGAAAAAAATGTCACCTATTTAGTCAGTCTTCCTCCCTTCTATATTCACAGTGGCATTAGGTTAGGTGGCTTGGCAAAATTACAAAGCTTCTCTGCAATAAGAGCCCCATATTCCCACCCAAGTGGAGTGGAGTGGAACCCTCCTCTTCCACGTATCCCTAAGTCAGAGCTAAGTACTCACTTACTCCTTTTTCTTTAATCTTGTGGGCAGTTAAAATGCCTGGTCAAGAGGACAGAACAAGTGTCCAGATTCCTCCTTGCTTTCTTTGTCTCAGGAATAGGACAGCATAGGTAGTACTACATTCTCCTTCCATGTTCCAAAATTCAATTGAAAAATGCCTATTTAAGGGTGTTAAACTTTGTCAAGTGATTTCTAGACACAGAGCCAAAGAGTCCCTCATAGTTAAGTTGAGTGATATTATTAGCTAATGGCCAGATATAGTAATATGTGAGGATAGTTGGAATTAAGTGGAGAGATAGAACACTACACTTGAGTAGAATGTACTGGATTTGAGTTCTAACCTCACCCCTACTATTATGTGGTCTTGGAAAATAAACTTACATTTTAGAGAAATAATGTAGCAGTTTCTAAATAGGCATATAATTCCTCAGAATATCATTGAAATGACTTGCCTCAAAAACTATAAATTATTAATATAAAAATTAGAATAATAATGATCCATACTTCAGGCAAGATGCAGGTTTCAGCACCAAGGAGAGCTCCCAGTGAGTGAGTTAACTGAAATAGTCTGTATTTTATTTTTTTATTTTTTCAAATTTTATTTTAGATTCAGGAGCCACATATTCAGGTTTGTTACCTTGGGATATTGTATGATTGTGAGGTTTGGGGTATGAATGATCTTGCCACCCAAGAACTGAGCATAGTACCCAAAAGTTTTTCAACTCTTTTCACCTCCTCCCTCAGTAGCCCTGAATGTCTATTACTGCCATCTTTATATTCAAGAGTACCCCATATTTAGCTCCCACTTATAAGTGAAAACGTGCAGTATTTGGTTTTCTGTTCCTGAATTAATTCGCTTAGGATAATGGCCTCTAGTTGCATCCATGTTGCTGCAAAGAACATGATTTCATTTTTTTATGGCTGCATACTCTTCCGTGGTGTATATTTACCAAATTTTCCTTCCATAATCCACCATTGATGGGCACCTAGGTTTATTCTATGTCTTTGCTAGTGTGAGTAGCATAGCAATGAACATACAAGTGCATATGTCTTTTGATTTATTTTCCTTTGGGTTTATATTCAGTTAACAGGACTGCTGGATCAAATGACAGTTCTGTCTTAAGTTCTTTGAGAAATCTCCAAACTGTTTTCCACAGTGGCTGAACTAACTTACATTCATACCAACAGTGTATAAGCATTCCCTTTCCTTTGCAGCCTCACCCAACATCTGTTATTTTTTGACTTTTTAAGAATAGCTATCCTGACTGATGTGAGATGGTATCTCACTGTGGTTTTTATTTGCATTTTTCTGATGATTAGTTATGTAGAGCATTTTTTTTATATGCTTGGCTGCTTGTATGTCTTCTTTTGAGAAGTGTTCATGTCTTATACCCATTTTAATTTTTTTTTTTGCATGTTCAATTGTACTTTATCATAGACTATTTGGATATTAGACCTTTGTTGGATGCAGGGCTTATGAATCTATTCTCCTATTATGTAGGTTGTCTGTTTAGTCTGTTGGTAGTTTCTTTTGCTGCACAGAAGCTCTTTAGTTTAACTAGGTCTCACTTGAAAATTTTTGTTTTTGTTTCCAATTGCTTTTGAGGACTTAACAATAAATTTTTTCCCAAGGCTGATGTCCAGAATGGTGTTTCCTAGGTTTTCTTCTAGGATTCTCATAGTTTGAGGTCTTATATTGAAATCTTTACTCCACCTTAAGTTAATTTTTGCATATTGTGAAAGGTAGTGTCCAGTTTCATTCATCTTCATGTGACTCACCAGCTATTCTAACACCATTTATTGAACAGGGAGTCCTTTCCCTTTTACTTATTTTTGTTGACTTTGTCAAAGATCAGATGCCTGTGGGTGTGTGGCTTTATTTCCGGGTTCTCTATTCTATTTCACTGGTCTACATGTCTGTTTTTGTGCCAGTGCAATGCTGATTTGGTTACTGTAGCCTTATAGAATAGTTGAAGTTGGGTAATGTGATGCCTTCATCTTTGTTCTTTTTGTTCAGGATTCCTTTGGCTATTTGGGCTCTTTTTTTGATCTGTATACTTTTAGCATAGTTTTCCTAATTATGTGAAAAATGATGTTGGAAATTTGATAGGAATATCATTGAATCTGTATATTGCTTTGGGCAATATGACCGTTTTAATTACATTGATCCTTCAAATCCATTAGCTTGGATTTTTTTTTCTATTTGTTTGTGTCATCTGTGATTTCTTTTAGTACTGTTTTGTAGTGTTCCTTGCAGAGATCTTTCACCTCCTTGTTTAGATGTATTCCTAGGTATTTAATTTTTTTGTGGCTTTTGAAAATGGGACTGTGTTCTTTCTTTGGCTTTCAACTTAATGTTGTTGGTATATAAAAAGGGTACTGATTTTTGTACATTGATTTTTGTATCCTGAAATCTTGCTAAAATCATTTATCAGTTCTAACAGCCTTTTGGTGAAGTCCCTAGGGTTTTCTAAGTATAGAATCATTTTATCAATGGGTTGAAATAATTTGACTTCTCTTCCAATTTGGCTGCTTTTCTATTTATTCGTCTTGCCTGATTGCGCTGGCTAGTGCTTACAGTTCTATTTCGATTAAGTGTAGTAAGAGTGGGCATCCTTGCCTTGTTCTAATTCTCAAGGGGAATGCTTCCAGTTTTTGCCTGTTCAGTATGATATTGTCTGTGCATTTGTCATAAATGGCTCTTATTTTGAGGTAGGTTCCTTTGATGCCTTATTTCTTGAGGGTTTTCATCATTAAGGGATGTTAGATTTTATCAAAAGCTTTTTTCCATGTCTATTGAGATGACCATATGGTTTTAAATTCTGTTTATATGATAAATCATATTTATTGATTTGCTCATGTTGAAACAACTTGTCATCCCAGGAATGAAGCCCGTTTGTGGTCAATCAACTTGTTGATGTGCTGTTGAATTTGGTATGCTAATAGTTTTTGGGCATATTTGTGTCTACGTTCATAAGGGATATTGGCCTGTAGTTTTCTTTTTTTGTTGTATCTCTGTCAGGTTTTGTTATCAGGGTGATGCTGGTTTCATAGAGTGAGTTAGGAAGGCGTCCCTCATCCTTGATTTTTTTGGAATAGTTTCAGTAAATTTGGTACCAGTTTTTTTTTTGTATGTCTGGAAGAATTCAGTTTTTAATCCATCTGGCCCAGGGCTTTTCTTGGTTGGTAGATTTTTTATTACTGATTCAATTTCAGAATCAATATTGGTCTGTTCATTGTTTCAATTTTTTCTTTATTCAATCTTAGGAGATTGTGTTTCTAGGAATTTACTTATTTCCTCTAGATTTCCTAGTTTGTTTGCATAGAAACGTTTTTGTAATTATAAATGTGCTGTCTAATCATCTCTGAGGATCTTTTGAATTTCTGTGGGATCAGTTATAATGTTAGTTTCTGATTGTGTTTGCTTGAATCTTCTCTTTTCTTTTGTTACTCTAATTAGAAGTCTAGCAATCTTATTTATCCTTTCAAAAAACCAACTTTTGGTTTCACTGATTCTTTGAATGGATTTTTGAGTCTCATTTTTGTTCAGTTTAGCTCTGTTTTTAGTTATTTCTTTTCTTCTGCTAGCTTTAGGGCTAGTGCTTGTTTTTCTAGTTCTTCTAAGTACGAAGTTACATCATTAATTTGAGATTTTTCTGCTTTTGGGGGGTAGGTGTTTAGCATTGTAAACTTTCCTCTTAACATTGCTTTTGCAGCATCCCAGATAGTTTGGTATATTGTGTTTCTGTTTGCATTTATTTCAAAAATTTTAAAATTTCTGCCTTGATTTCATTGTTTACACAAAAGTCATTCAGGAGGAAGTTGTTAAATTTCCATGTAATTGTGTGATTTTTGAGAAATCTTCTTGATATTGATTTTCTATTTTTATTCCACTGTGGTCCAAGAGTATGGTTAGCATGATTTTTAAAAATTCATTGGGAATTGCTTTATGGCTGAGCATGGGGACAATCTTGAAGTATGTTGTGTGTGCAGATGAGAGGAACATGTATTTGTAGTTGATAGGTGGAGTATTCTGTACATCTCTGTTCTGTACCTGTATGTGATCTTCCCGCCATACTCCATTGGCCCATACTCTATTCGCTAAGTGTCAAGTTTCAGTTCAGAATTTCTTTATTAGATTCCTGCCTCAATGACCTATCTAATGCTGTCAGCGGGGTGTTGAAGTTCCCCACTATTACTGTGTAGTTCTTCAAGTCTTTTTTTTTGTACGTCTAGAAGTACTTGTTTTATGAATCTGGATGCTTCAATGTTGGGTGCATTTTATATTTGGGATAGTTATGTCTCCTTGGTGAGTGAAACACTTTATCATCATATAATGCCCTTCTTTGTCCTTTTGTTTTACTGTTGTTGATTTAAAATCTCTTTTATCTGACATAAAAATAGTGACCTCTGGTATTTTCTGTTTTCTGTTTGCATTGTAGATCTTTCTCCAACCCTTTACTTTGAGCCTGTGGGTGTCATTACATGTGAGATGAGTCTCTTGAAAACAGTGAATGGATGGGAGTTATACTTTTTATTCAACTTGTCACTCTGTGTCTTTTAAGTGGGGTATTTAGGTCATTTACAGTCAAGGTTAATACTTATATGTTAGGTTTTGATCCTATCATGAAGTTGTTATCTGGTTACTTTGTAGTTTTTATCATGTGATTGCTTTATAGGGTAGGCTATTTACGTATGTGTGTCTTTTAGTGGTAGCAGGTATCATTATTTTGTTTCCATCTTTAGAACTCCCTTAAAGATCCTTTGTAAGGCTCGCTAGTTGTAATACATTCCCTTGATGCTTGCTTGTCTGGAAAAAAAATTTACTTTTTCTTCACTTATGACACTTAGTTTGGCAGGATACAAAATTCTTAGTTGGAATTTCTTTTTTAAAGAATGCTGAAAACAGGCCCCCAATCTCTCCTGATGATATGGTTTTGCGTGTCCCCACCCAAATCTCATCTTGATTTGTAATTCCCATAATCTCCACATGTGGTGGGAGGGACCCCGTGGGACATAAAATCATGGGGCAGTTTCCTCCATGCTATTCTCATGATAGTGAGTAAGTTCTCACGAGACCTGATGGTTTTATAAGGGGCTTCCCTCTTTGCTTGGCTCTCATTCTTCTTCCTGCCACCCTGTGAGGAAAGATGTATTTGCTTCCCTTTCTTCCATGACCATAAATTTCCTGAGGCCTCCCCAGACATGCTGAACTGTGAGTCAATTAAACCTCTTTCCTTTATAAATTACCCAGTCTCAGGTATGTCTTTATTAGCAGTGTGAGAACAGACTAATATACCTGACTTGTCAGGTTTCTGCTGATAAATCTGCTGTTAGCCTGGTGGGGTTTTCCATTGTACATAATCTGTTCTTTTCGTCTAGTTTCCTTTAAGGTTTTTTTCTTCAGTGTTGGCTGTGGACAGTCTGGTGAGTAGAGATGCCTTGGTGATGTTCATTTTGTATAGTGTTTTGCAGGTATTCTCTGGATTTCTAATAAATGGGTGTCTACCTCTCTAACAAGATTAGAGAAGTTTTCTTGGATTATTCTCTCAAATATATTTTAGAGGTTGTTTATTATTCTGCTTCTCTCTCAGGAATGCCAATAATCCATAGGTTTGGTTGTTTCACATATCCCATATTCCTCAAAGACTTTGCTTGTTTTTTAAAATTTTGTTTTTTTTTTAATTTTTGTCTGACTGGGTTGGTTGAAAAGAACAGTCTTCAAGCTCTGAAATTCTTTCTTCTGCTTGATCGAGTCTACTGATAAAGCTTTCAGTTATATTTTGAAATTCCATAAGTGAGTTTTTAAATTCCAGAGGCTCTGATTGATTTCTTTTAAAGATGTTTATCTCTTTCCTCATTTCCCAGATTGCTTTAAAACTTCTTTGTGTTGATTTTCAACCTTGTCTTAGATCTCATTGACTTCCTTGAATCCATGCTGTTAATTCTTTATTGTGTCATTTCTGAGTTTCCATTTTGGTAAGGATCATTGCTGGAGATCCAGTGCAATTATTTGGCGGTGTTACTACATTCAGATTTTTCATGATGCCAGAATTATTGCACTCATTCTTTTGCATCTGGATGCACTGGTAATTCTAGTTTTAGAATTATTTTCCTGTGTGTAGAATTTTAAATTTTTATTTTTTAACGTATAAATTTGTTGGGTTTTTTTCCCCTTTCCCCTCTCCTTAGGGTGTGTGACTATAGAGAATGCTGGGTAGGGTGTTTTGGATTTGCTTCTATAGCCATATGCATTTCTTTTGGCAGGTTTTATATGGGGCTATAGAGTTCAACCTACAAGCCCATAGATGGTGCTTACAGGTAAAAGCCAGCTGTGGCAAACGTGGCTGGGTATATATTTAACCCTTGTTTACTGGCAGAAGTTCTCTGTTACCTCAGGCAGTGTGGGCTGATTCATGTAATTTATAGTGGCCTGAGCTCCCTGCTCAGACCTAAGGGGAGTGGGGGCAATGAAGGGCAGGGCCATACCAGACAGGTCTGCCTGGGGGTCCTCCAATGGCAGGCACAGGCACCAACACCGAGAAAGAATCCTGTGGGCAGCCACCAAGCAGTGAGAAGGGTGCCTAGTTGTGAGGCTGGGAAACTACCTCAGCTCCAAGTTCTCTGAACAGGGATGGAAGATGATCTAAACTTCTAATCTAGAAGAGTAGGTGCTCCAGATGCCTAAAGATCTGCCTGAGCACGGAGCAGAGATCCCACCCTCCAACACCAGGATATATGCACAGGAAGGGTGGGGTATCTCAGGCTCCTTATCCAAGTGATCTTGTGCCCTGAGTGCCTGGAGATCTGCCTTCATGTGGAGCAGAGAGAGTCTCGCTGCATCATGATTAATGTGTAGGAAGGGTGGGGCAGCTCTAGCTACTGTTCCAGGAAAGTAGGTGCCCCAAATGCCTGGATTTCTGCCTAGGGGTGGAACAGAGAGGGCCTCACGCTGTACCACGATCTCAGGAAAGCAGGGTGGAGTACCCAGCAATGGTACACATAGATCAGTTCCAGTTCATCAAGCTAGTTCTAACTGTAGATGTAGCAGCTCTCCTCCTGCTCCAGGCTTGCAACAGGGTAAAGCACAATTTTAGCCCTACTGCTGAGGCGATTTCCACAGTTCTGGCTGTGGGGGGCCTCACCCCATTCCAGAGGAGGTGCTCCAATCTCTGGCCTGACTAAGATGCCTGTGTAGCCACACTGCTGGGTTGCCAAGTAATAGCTGAATTTGGATGTGCCCAGATTAAAAAATGGCATCCTGTTCTTGGTCCTTGGTCTGGGAAAATGTCTGCAGCTTTTCCAAGTGTCTCTTTCCCTCACAGTATCTCCAGGGCTCTCCACAAGTTAGCTCCAGAACTTGGGAGAAACAAAATGTTCTTCCTCAGCCTCAGTTGCTCAGATCCCCAGTGGGAAGTTAAGTTACAGAGAGAGGCTCTCTGCCTCTCTCACGTACTGGGACTTCACTCACTTCTGTCAACTAGGTGCTGTCATGGGGGCTGCTTGCCACCATCCTCCTCTCCTCAATCTGGGGTGTCTTTTACAATTCTGGTTGATTCCTGTTTTTCTTCTTGACTTAAAGCTCCCACAGTTGATCTTTATGTACTGTCTCACAATTTCCAAGTGGCTGAGCCATGCTGAAAACCCCTAATCCACCATCTTGGAGGAAAAAAAGAGACAATTATTCTTATGTAGGCCTCTATCTTATTGAAATGTGCTTCCTGGGTCAATGTATTCACTCATTTATTCACCAAATATACTTTAAATGCCCACTAACTGCCAGATGTAATGCTAAACCCTAGAGATACAGTGGTGAACATGGAATGTACCATCTTTTCCTTATGAAGCTCTATGACTCAAAAGACATGTACTCTAAAACTGTGTCAGAAATTTCCTTGAGAGTGGAATCATTTCAATACTTACTGAACAACTAATCATTCAATGCCTTATAGATGGGATTTCCATATATTTTGTTACTTATCAATATAACCATTAAAGTCTCCCATGATGATGAATATAAGGAAAGGAATAAAAACCCAGTCAGAGGCTGGAGTAGAGTGTTATTTCCACCATACTCTATTGGCCCAAGCAGCTCACAGAGTCTGCTCAGAATGAAAGGGAGAGTACAAAGACTCTACATATTGATAATGTGATCTTGAGGGGGAAGGTCACGTTGTAGACAAGCGTGTAGCAAGGGACATATTATATTACATTTTGGAAATGTGTACTTGTATCATCTGTTCTCACATTGCAATAAAGAACTACCTGAGACTGGGTAGTTTATTAAAAAAAAGGTGTTTAATTGACTCACAGTTATGCAGGCTGTACAGAAGGCATGGCTGGGGAGGCCTCAGGAAATGTACAATCATGGCTGGGGGAAGAGGGAAAGGAGAAGCAAGCACATCTTTACATGGCTGGTAAGAGAGAGAGAGCACGAGTGAAGAGGGAAGTGCTACACACTTTCAAACAACCAGATCTTGTGATAACTCACTATCATGAGAACAGCAAGGGGGAAATCTCCCTGCATGATCCAATCACTTCCCATCAAGTCCCTCATCCAACATTGGGGATTACAATTCAACATGAGATTTGGGTGGGGACACAGAGCCAAATCATATTAGTATTCTTCAAGTCTATTTTTATCTTTATGTAATTACATCTATTATCTACAGGATAGATATGTTGTTGCTATATACCCATTTCATTTTATAGATGATAAAACCGAAAAATAAGCTATTTGAATATTTAATTTTCATACATGGAAATTGACAGGGGAGAAAAAAATCCTGTGTCTGATAGATTTTCTCATGATTCACAGAGTTACATGTTGGTTACAAATGCTGATTATGTTGGAACCCAAACATTCTATTTGTTGAGTGAATGAGTTAGTGAATGAAAATGAATTGATGGTAGTTTCTTTTGCTACTATCAGAGTGAACAGGCAACCTACAGAATGGGAGAAAATTTTTGCAATCTACTTATTTGACAAAGGGCTAATATCCAGAATCTACAAAGAACTCAAACAAATTTACAAGAAAAAAAAACAGACAACCCCATCAAAAAGTGAGTGAAGGATATGAACAGAACACTTCTCAAAAGAAGACATTTATGCAGCCAACAGACACATGAAAAAATGCTCATCATCACTGGCTATCAGAGAAATGCAAAGCAAAACCACAAAGAGATACCATCTCATACCAGTTAGAATGGCAGTCATTAAAAAGTCAGGAAACAACAGGTGCTGGAGAGGATGTGGAGAAATAGGAACACTTTTACACTGTCGGTGGGAGTGTACATTAGTTCAACCATTGTGGAAGACAGTGTGGCGATTCCTCAAGGGTCTAGAACTAGAAATACCATTTGACCCAGCCATCCCATTACTGGGTATGTACCCAAAGGATTATAAATCATGCTGCTATAAAGACACATGCACGTGTATGTTTATTGCGGCACTATTCACAATGGCAAAGACTTGGAACCAACCCAAATGTCCATCAGTGATAGACTGGATTAAGAAAATGTGGCACATATACACCATGGAATACTATGCAGCCATAAAAAAGGATGAGTTTGTGTCCTTTGTAGGGACATGGATGAAGCTGGAAACCATCATTCTCAGCAAACTATCACAGGGACAAGAAAAACAAACACTGCATGTTCTCAGTCATAGGTGGGAATTGAACAATGAGAACACTTGGACACAGGGTGGGGAACATCACACACCAGGGCCTGTCGTGGGGTGGGGGAAGGGGGGAGGGATAGCATTAGGAGATATACCTAATGTAAATGACGAGTTAATGGGTGCAGCACACAAACATGGCATATGTATACATATGTTAACGAACCTGCACATTGTGTACATGTACCCTAGAACTTAAAGTATAATAATAAAAAAAATCTAAAAAAAAGAAAATGAATTGAGATACCTGGATCTTGCTTGGTGTTATAGACAGATCTTAAATATGGCTTTGATATTTAATAACAGCTACTAACTTATATGGTTTGGTTCTGTACTGATAAGTCAGAAGAAGTAGGCTTAGGACTGGTGGGGTGCTAGAGATGGTGTGTATCTGCTTGGGAAAGGTAATTATTCAGGAATTTTGTGAGCAGGTGGCTAAACTCTTGGTAACTTGAAACTGGCCATAATGGAGATAAGTGCATCAGAAAAATGAACAAATATTACAAATACAAGTGATGGGTGTGTACGCTAGTTTACTAGGACACTACTGAATCATGGTGTAAGTTTCCTTGCCTCATTGGGAAGATATGACTACTGCAACTCTGCAGAAGTAATCTACATAAATGATGAAATATAACTGTATATACAGAAAAACTATGAATGGGGACAGTTATAAATCACTAGTTTACCAGAACACTACTGAACCATGGTGGGTAAGTTTCCCTGCCTCATTGGGAAGATATGACTACTGCAACTCTGCAGAAGGAATCTACATAAGTGATGAAATATAACTGTATATACAGAAAAACTATGAATGGGGACAGTTATAAATTGGCCTTAAAGTATCTGAAGATACTTTTATATTTTTGATCAATGATATGCTTAGGTTTTTATATACAAGTTAGTGATTGTAGTAGTTAAGTTAGAAAAATATATAATAAAGCAGTATTTATGCCCAGAAAATCTTAGGAAGGATTAAGTGTCCTTAGAGGGAACTAGAAGGTTATCAACTCAAGGTGGTAGTGACGTTTTGTTAATCCATCTAGACATCTTGAAGGAAAATGGTGTGTCTCAGTTTTCTATCTGAGTTAAATCAACTATATATTTCTTAAACTTGATGTAGAGTTAGCATTCTTGGGGGCAGGCCAATAACAAATGAACATTAGCAATATTTTGTTCAGGGTCTCAGAATACATCAAAATGTCTTCTAGATCCACAATTATGTAGTAGTTTAAAAGGTCAAAGAATGAATCATTCATGACATGCTAAAATACCTATATTGCATAACTGAAGCTGAACACGTTGCAGTATAGTTGGAGAGAATATAATGTATACAAATTTTAGTCCTGCTTTCAGTTCTCTCTCTTGTGTCAACCAGATCAGACATGTTAAAAAATCTAGTTAGGTGTAAATGGTGGCTATTTTTCTACTAAGGTGGGTGTTAGGCTGCTAATAGACTGAATATCCAGAAGTTTTTAGAAAGGATGAAGCTCTATACCATTTTACCAAATAAATTTGGATCTCTATGAAGAGGAATTGAGTCCATGTTTAACATTTTGCCTATGAAGTCTCAACATGCCCTGTTCTTTCATTTTAGCAGTGATATTTTAGTATAGCTCTTTAGGATACACATTTTTGGGGTACAAGGTCAAGACTGCAATGTACAGGCTGTCAGTGGTAGCTTCTTAGCCTAATGGAGCTGAACATAATCTTGAGGTCATGACAATTCCAGGGTAGGATTAGTATAGGTCTTCATAATTATTAACTGTAAAGCCTAATAGAGTAGTTTCAACAATTGCTAACATCAGCAATTGTTAACATTTTGTCATTCTTCATTCTTTCTCTTTCTCCCTTCCTCTCCCCACCTACCAACTATTTATTTTTTTTGCTGAACTATTTACAAGGATGTTGTAGACATTGATACTTTTTTCCTAAACATGTTTGATAAATGTTCTAAAAATATAAACTTTACCCCGACTAATTATATTACCATTATTACATCTTAAGAAAAATTAACAATACCATTCCAACATCATCTAATATTCTGTCCACACTCAAATTTCTCCAATTGTCTCCAAAAAGTCTTACTTAAGGAACAATAGCTTCATCACAGGCCTGTGATATTTAACACTGTAATCTTAAGTCCTGGCACTACCCTTAATCCCCATGTTTGGATGAAGATTCAGAAATCCCTTTGTCTGAAGTGTTTTGGGGAAAACAAGACTGGGTATTCTCTCTCCTTTGTGAAGTGAGAATTACCCTCTTCATTGTCAGGGTGATGCTGTGGTAGTCTGCCATACTTCCCGATATTGTAGATATAAGTAAGAAAAAATACTTAACAGTTCTCTCATAACAACAGGTAGTGCTTCATTTTGGTCTTCCTAAAACAATACATCAGTCTCCCAAGAAAATGCAGAAGTGAAATCATGCCATACTTACTAAGTAATAGATTTCTAAGTTGGTAGCTTCTTACCCTAGAAACAGAAACATTGGGCTTATTATAACTGAGTTCCTGGTAATTTTGACCCTTATAAGGGTAGATACATCCCTAATTTTTTGTACTCTCATTTGTTTGTGTTGCAAAGATCCATCAGCATTCAGATAATTGCAGTGATTAACGAGTTAACTGAACCGGAAGCTGACAAAGTAAGATGCTAGGAGCAGATGGTGTTGTCAAATAGAGGTATAATTGCATTAAAAAAAATCTCTTCAAAATAGTTTCTCAAGCTTCAGGTAACTTAGATGACATTTAGCAGCCTCTGAAAATCACTTAAATTGGTACAGAAATAAAAGAATTATGGAAGAAAATGTCACCATCTGAATTTGTCTTGAGACTTTTTGAGTGGAGACACCTGAGCTTCTGTTAATATTGGCAACTATTTACAGCCCATAGAATAGAACGTGTCATTGCTGTGTTAAGTTTAGCTCATTAGGTGGGGAAGGTCTTTTGTGGCAGTCTGGAGACTAATGGATTTAGTGCTCTGAGATATAAAGTATATGGGAAAAGAAAAATGTATAAATTATCTTAAGTACAAATATGGGAAAACTCACTGGAGCTTTTAAAGAAAGGTGATTAATGCAATTGAAAACTGCAGGAAAAATAGTCCTTTTTTATTTTATAGTTTGTCACTGTTACTGAATATGGCACAGCAAGAATTAAATGTAAAGTGCTCATAACATTTGGAAGCATTGCAAATATTGATGAAGAATCTAGGATTTTGGGGGGAATAGATACATAGTATACATGAAAGACCTAAGAAGTATACTCATAAAAATTTAGAGCTAGGATAAAGTTGTAATATCAAATCAAGCTTCTTGTTTTACAGGTAAGAAAAATGAAGCCCAAAGATGAGCCAGAGCTAAAATTCTTATTTGGACTCAAGGATGTACATCCTTTGAAATTATACAAAATCTAAAATATGTCATTGTCAAATATATCATAGAGAAGCAGTGATAGGCCAGTTATCTTACTATAACCACAAATATAAGCCAAGCCTGACATGCGGTATCTTAGAGAGGCAGGAAATGGCACTGATGAGATGATAGATTTGAAATCTAACCATTTGGGAATTAAGCCCTGACTTTAGTCCTTATTAACAGAAATAAAATTACTTAACTTTTCTAGGCTCATTACTTCCTTTGATCAAGTGTACAGTCTCTACCAGGGCCCATGAGCTTTCCAACAATGGTGGAATTACTAAATGCCAAAAAGGGCTTGTCTTTGTCTCCAAATTCTTGGGGCCACCTCTTTGATTTTTCCAGTTGTGGCTTGCCACAGGTTCTATACAGCATTCTACCTTGACACAAATACTTTAGCATCACTTGATCAGCTAGATCATAAGTAGTAAATTTATGCATTAGGGCCCAAAGAAACTGAATAACTTTCTTTTATTCTAGGACAGTGGTTCCCAAATTGTGGTTCCTGAACCAGCAGCATCAGTATCATATAAAAACTTATTTGAAATGTAAATTATTGAGCATAATTCTACTGAATCAAACTCCAGAGGTAAGAAGCATCTGAAATTTTTAAATCAGAAATCTGCCTCAACAAACTCTCCAGGTGATTTTTATATATGCTAAAGTTTAAAAGTTTCTAGTTGTTTAGAGTGGGAAGTTGTCAGTTTTTTGTATCATCTGGTTAGTGGGTCAGAAAATCATGTTCAGAAGCATATTTTGCCACCATAATCCAAAGAGATATTAAGTTTGTATTGTGTGCAAGATGCAGCTACTTGTCCTTCTCTTCCAGGTGTATTGACATACGCCAGGTCATTCCCCCAGAGAGTCTGCTAAAATGGCAGGCCCCTATATTTTCATGTGATCATCATCTCCAACCTGATATCATGTCTTATCAAGAAATTTAGGGGACTGTTAGTTTATGTTTCTTTAGCATCTGTTAGCATTAAGTTATCACCTTATTGCACAACCATGATGTCCTGTGTGATAAGATGATCGGGACTCTGGCAAACTAAATTATGGCATAAAAACCAGATCACTGACATAACCCTCAGGGATGATGAAAGTGGTGCAGCATCTGTCTTTTCCATGGGAAATCACCTATGATTATTTCTCAGGTCCTGTCACCCATTACATTATCTTGTCTCTAGATGATAAGTGATGAGCCTGGCCTTGGCCCATGGGGATGCCGGCATTTCCTTTGAAATAAGGAAGCCAATGTCAACTATGGTGACTTTCATTACCATCCCTGGCATATAGGATATAATTTCCAAATACTTTCCAAGATCCTGGTGTTCTCCACAGCAGAATATTTTTCAACGCATTGTTGGGAAAAACAGTCATCTGAGTTTTCTTAAATGAGTAGCTCACAAGACATGATAAGTTTACTCCAACATTCCTATCTCTTTGGATTCTGCATTTCTTCCTGCATATTACTTGTCAAGGTATTTATGGCATCTCAACTTCATAAATGCTGGGCCACTGTTGAATACAGGTTTAGATTGACCAACTGACCACCAAGGTGGTATCTCTAGGAGTCTACAAGAACTACAGTGTTACTGGGCTTGGAGTGTCCCCTAATGCACATAATATAATAATTACAACCATTCCCCACTGCTGATGCCAAGATGTTGCAATAGTATTCATATTATATGTTCACCCCAATTTTGCATCAACTTTCTCCTTTTGTGGTCTGGTGTTCTCAAAATTCATTCCTGCACATGTTCTTCAGGTTTGTAAATTATTAATATTCTACAAGTTTCTTTCTGTAACTAAGCCTTTTCTTCCATGGTCTGAGTTTTCATTTTATTCCCTGTGGCATCTTAATTATATGTTTGAACTTGGGTAGAACATGATGAGAATGAGGACTGGATCCCTTTTTTAAAACACGCTACAACCTGAGTCATTACAGAGTCTTCAAGCAAGGAAGAAATGGCTTCAATGTTGGGGAAGAAAATTTGCCTCTTCTGCCAGGGAAGTCGTGGTAGATGTGTAGTGTCAGGGTATTGTGTGGATTATAGCTTCCAATATTTCCCTATTCCAATGCCATTATTCCCTACCAATACTTTAACTTCTCTAAAGAGACCAGGTGAATTCATTGGACATTGGACAACAGACCAGGTGAATTCATTGGACATTATAACTATTTCAGGAAACTGTAGGGTGAAAAGCTGAGTTTGATTTCTTTTAAAACTATCTTAGCCCTGCAGCTGTAACAGATAAAAGATTATTTTAATACAGCTTTAGAGAGTTCCTGATTTTTTTTTTTTGCCTGTGCCTTGAATCAAGATTCTAATATTTTGAGCTTGACATACTATTTCTTTAAGTTTCCAACACTCTTAAAAGCATCCTCTCTACCCCCACTCCCAAATCAACAGTCGTTTAGTTTCTCAAGCTCTGGGGTAAAAGAGTGGAGCGAGATGGCCAAATAGAACCCTCCACCAGTCATCCTCCCTGCAGGAACATCAAATTTAACAGCTATCTACATGACAAACACCTTCATAAGAATGCAAAATTAAGTGAGCAATCACAGTACCTGGTTTTAAATTCATATCACTGAGAGAGGTACTGAAGAGGGTAGAAAAGACAGTCTTGAATTGCTGAAGCCAACCCTCCCTTATTCCCTAGCAGCAGCCACGTGGTATGGTGTGGTGCTTCAGGGAGGGAGAATGTAGTGATTGTGAGACTTTGCATTGGAACTCAGTCCTGCCCTGTCACAGTGGAAAGCAATGCTGGGCAGAGCTCAGCTGGCACCCAAAGAGAAGGCATTTAGACCAGCCCTAACCAGAAGGGAATCACCCACCTCAGCAGTCAGAACTTGAGTTTCAGCAAGCCTCACCACTACAGGCTGAAGGGCTCTGGGGTCCTAAATAAACTTGAAAGACAATCTAGGCCATAAAGACTGTAACTCCTAGAGAGGTCCCAGTGCTGTGCTGGGCTTGGAGCGAGTGGACTTGGGGGCACACAACCTAGTGAGACACTGGCCAAGGTGGACAAGTGCCCCTCCCCCAGCCCCTGGCAGTGCAGCTCGCAGCTCCAAAAGAGACCCCTTCCTTCCACTTGAGAAGTGAGGGAAGAGTAAAGAGGACTTTCTTCTGCAAGTTGGATAGCAGCTTAGGCATAGTAGGATAGGGCACTGGGTAGAGTCATAAGGCCTCTATTCCAGGCCCTAGCTTCTGGAGGACATTTCTAGACACAACCTGGGTCAGAAGGGAACATTTTTCCTTGAAGGGAAGGACACGGTCATGACAGGATTCATTACCTGGCAACTAAAGAGCCCTTTTGGGCCATCACTAATCAGCAGCAATAGCCAAGTAGAACACACCATGGGCTTTGAGTGAGACTCTGAGATGTGCTGGCTTCAGGTGAAACCCAGCACATTTATAGCTGTGGTGGCTATGAAGAGACAACTTCTGCTTGAGAAAACCAGGAGGAGAGTAAAGGGAACTTTGTCTTGCAGCTTAGGTGCCAGCTCGTTCACAGTGAGGTAGATCACCATGTGGGCTCTTAGGGTCTCTGATTTCAGGCCTTGGCTTTTAGATGGCATTTCTGGACCTGCTGTGGGCCAGAGGGGACACGACTGCCTTGAAGCGTGAGTCCCAGGCCAGGCAGCATTCACCACAGCTAAATGAAGAGCCCTTAGACCTTAAGCAAACATTGGTAGTAGCCTGGCAGTACTCCCTGTTGGCCTGTGGTGCTGGTGGCCCTGGGGAGAGACTCCTCTGCCTGTGGAAAGGGGAGGAAACAATGGGAAGGACTTTGTCTTGTGGTTCGGGTGTACAAGCATAGCTGCAGTAGAATAGAGCACTAGGTAGACTTCTAAGGTTTTTGACTCTAGTCCCTGGCTCCTAGTCAATATCTCTGGACCTGCTTGGGGCCTGGGGGAACTCCTTGCTCCAAAGGACACAAGCCTGTTTTGCTTCACCACCTGCTGATTGTAGAGATCTAAGGCCTTGAGTGAACATAGGTGGTAGCCAGGAAGTGGCAATAGCAGGCCTTGGGTGAGACCCAATTCTATGCTGGCTTCAAGTCTGAGCCAGTGTAGTCCTAGTGGTGGTGGCCACAGGAGTGGCCTTCTGTCACCTTTCCCCCAGCTCCAGGCAGCTCAGGACATAGAGAGACTCTCTGTGTTTGAGAGAAAGTAAGGGAAGACTACAACAGTCTCTGCCTGATAATCCAGGGTATTTGTCCAGATCTTATCCAAGACCACCAAGGTGGTATCTCTAGGAGTCTACAAGAATTAGTGTTACTGGGCTTGGGGTGCCCCCTAAGGCAGATATGGCTGTAGTGACCAAAAATTTAGATCACAATACCCAAGTTCTTTCAAGTACCTGGACAGCCTTCCCAAGAAGGACGTATACAGATAAGCCCAGACTGCGAAGACTACATACAATAAATAACCCTTCAATGCCCAGACACCAACAAACATCTATAAGCATCAACATCATCCAGGAAAACATGACCACACCAGATGAATTAAATAAAGCACCAGGAACTAATTCCAGAAAGACAGAGCTATGCGACCTTTCAGATAGTGAATTCAATAGCTGTTTTGAGGAAACTCAATGAAATTCAAGAAAACACAGAAAAGGAATTTAGAATCCTATCAGATAAATTCAACAAAGAGATTCAAATAACTAAAAAAGTCAAGCAGAAATTCTGGAGTTGAAAAATAAAATTGGCATACTGAAGAATGCATCAGTCTGTTAATAGCAGAACTTATCAAGCAGAAGAAAGAATTAGCTTGAAGACAAGCTAATTGAAAATATACAGTCAGAGGAGACAATAGAAAAAAAGAATAAAAAAGAATGAAGCACGCCTACAAGATCTAGAAAATAGCCTTAAAAGGGAAAATCTAAGAGTTATTGGCCTTAAAGAGGAAGAAGAGAAAGAGATAGCGATGGAAAGTTTATTCAAAAGGATAATAACAGAGGACTTCCCAAACCTTGAGAAAGATATCAATATACACTTATGAGAAGTTTATAGAACACCAAGTGGATTTAACCCAAAGAAGACTACCTCAAGAAATTTCATAATCAAACTCCCAAAGGTCAAGGATAAAGGATCCTAAAAGCAGCAAGAGAAAAGAAACAGATTACATATAATGGAGCTCCAATAGCCTGGCAGCAGACTTTTCAGTGGAAACCTTACGGGCCAGAAGAGAGTGGCATGACATATGACCTTACCCTAGAATAGTATATCTGGTGAAAATATCCTTCAAACATGAAGGAGAAATAAAAAGTTTCCTAGACAAACAAAAGCTGAGGGATTTCATCAGCGCTAGACCTATCCTAGAAGAAATGCTAAGAGGAGTTCTTCAGTCTGAAAAAAAGGACATTATTGAGCAATAAAAAATTATCCAAAGGTACAAAACTCACTGGTAATAGTAAGCATACAGAAAACCACAGAATATTATAACACTGTAATGGTGATATATAAACTACTCATACCTTCAGTAGAAAGACTAAAAGATGAACAATTCAAAACTAACTACAACAACTTTTGCAGACATAGACAGTACAATAAGACATAAATAGAAACAATAAAAAGTTAAAAAGCAGGGTGATAAAGTATGTAGCTTTTATTAGTTCTTAGTTACTTTATTAGTTACTTGTATGTTAGTTTCTTTATGCAATCAGTGTTAAGTTGTCATCAGTTTAAAATAATGAGTTATAAAATACCATTTGCAAGCCTCATGGTAACCTGAAATCAATAAACATACAATGGATAAGCAAAAAACATTTCTTAATCTCTTCATTTGGTTTTTATAATAGAAGCCATGTGGTTCTCTCCAGCTTTGCCTTCAGTGGGCACATCATTTCAAGTGACCACAGGGGATAATTTCTCTTTCTTTACTGCAGGCCATATTTATAAGCATCTTTTCCACAGGGCCCCATTTTCTTTTTTCCCTGAGGCCTTATTGCATTTATCCATTAAGTTTCTTAATTTTGAGCACTATAAATCAATAAAAGCTAATTTAAGTCCTCAAAGAATTAACTAAAAAAATACTAGGAAGCTCATAGAATTCTTAGAAGGTTCAGGAAACCAGGCTTAGTAGTCACAGTTAGAAACAAGATGAAAGTCATATTATTGCTCTGATAGGCCACTTGCCCCACTGATATGGGAACACTTGCTGGAAGCACCCTCCCTGCTGTCTTGGGAGAGTTGTTTCTGCTGTCACCAATTTCTTCGACAGCATTTCATGCTTTGTCATTAGTTCCCCATTGAAGTTCAACATGGGTGCCTATGGCTGATACAACCTTTCTTACCTATCCATGCTGTAAATGGGGTGGGGGGCAGAGAAAATTCATATTTGGCATTTCTACCTTTCAAGTGGGAGGTGATCTCAGATTTATTCAGAAATACTGTGTAAGGTAATGTCTGTAAAGCAATTACACAATATCTAGACATACAGAAAGCTCTCAAAAATAGAATATATAATATGTATTATTGTTATATAATGAGTGAAGTGGTTTTATGATCATCAGGTAGTGGACAAGGATGTAAAATATTGTCTTTCTCAAAGTTTCTAATGTGACTGCCTTGTGCTTTGGGAGCTTAATTAGGATTGCTGTCTTTGGTAGATGAAAGGAAAATTTGCTGTAGTTTATTGCACAGTGTTATTTATGCATTCAACAAATGTTTGTTATTTCCTGTTTTTCTTCTTTTTTTCTTTTTATTATTTTATTTTATTTTTGTTATACTTTAAGTTCTAGGGTACATGTGCACAACGTGCAGGTTTGTTACATATGTATACATGTGCCATATTGGTGTGCTGCACCCATTAACTCATCATTTTCGTTAGGTATATCTCCTAATGCTATCCCTCCCCCCTCCCCCCACCCCACGACAGGCCCCAGTGTGTGATGTTCCCCTTCCTGTGTCCAAGTGTTCTCATTGTTCAATTCCCACCTATGAGTGAGAACATATGGTGTTTGGTTTTTTGTCCTTGCCATAGTTTGCTGAGAATGATGGTTTCCAGCTTCATCCATGTCCCTACAAAGGACATGAACTCATCCTTTTTTATGGCTGCATAGTATTCCATGGTGTATATGTGCCACATTTTCTTAATCCATTCTATCATTGATGGACATTTGGGTTGGTTCCAAGTCTTTGCTATTGTGAATAGTACCGCAATAAACATACGTGTGCAGGTGTCTTTATAGCAGCATGATTTATAATCCTATGGGTATATACCCAGTAATGGGATGGCTGGGTCAAATGGTATTTCTAGTTCTAGATCCTTGAGGAATTGCCACAGTCTTCCATGATGGTTGAACTAGTTTACAGTCCCACCGACAGTGTAAAAGTGTTCCTATTTCTCCACATCCTCTCCAGCACCTGTTGTTTCCTGACTTTTTCATGATCGCCATTCTAACTGGTGTGAGATGGTATCTCATTGTGGTTTTGATTTGCATTTCTCTGATGGCCAGTGATGATGGGCATTTTTTCATGTGTCTGTTGGCTGCATAAATGTCTTCTTTTGAGTGGGGGCCAATTTCCTGTTTTTCTTCTTTAGACTATCATGAAGTATTGTGGGAAAATCAAAGGTGAATTCTCACTGCTTGTCCTCAAATTGTGTATAATCCAAAGACAGCAGAGAAAGAGACACCAGAATGTATTGAATATGTGTCAGGCACTATTGGGATGTTACACATATTATCTTATGTAAGCCCCTCAATAGCTTTATTGGAAAGTTGTTACCTCCATTTGATAAGAAGTGGAGCCTCAAAGGGGTTAATAAACTTGCCCAAGGTCATGCAAGAAGGAAAGAGAAAAGCCCAGTTTATGCCCAGAACTGGATCATGCTTAGAGGAAGGAACAAAACCTCAGAGCTAGAAGAACCAGGAGTGGAAAACTAACACGGGATTTGAGAATTTGGTCCCAAGTCGAGAGATTCTTATGTTAGCAATGTTATGGAATCTTTTTAGAGGATATTGGCAGGAAAAAAATGGGTAGATTTTCTTTAAATTGTCAAAACTAGAGTAAATCCATGCTCGAAATATAGCATGCTCCTTTTTGACTGAAATTTTCAAAAGATGCAGATAATTCATATCAGGGTCCAGGAAAAAAAAATAAAAGGCCAGTTAGGCAGTTTGGACACATCCTCTTGTCACTAGATGAACTGGCCACAGATTATGACCTTACCAGGGTCTAAGACCTTCCCAGTGGCTCGTAATAACGTACTATCCAATTGACTATTTCTAGACCCACCTGACTAGTGGGTAGTTGTTCTGGCTTACATTGATTGCCTCAAGGCTTGTGGATTGAACCTGCATGTGGCTGACAGCCCAGTAGCTGGTGGGATTGAGTTTGAGAAAGCCAGGTACTGGCGAAGGCTTGTAACCATGATTTCTCACTGAAGAAACTCAGGTGCCCTGGTCAGAGGTAGACAAATGCATTAGATGGACTGGAGTAATTTGTGGAATAAGCATTTTGGGGTGGTTGTGGTCACAATTGTGCTGGTGGTTATAGTGTCTGGGAAGTGTTTGTAAATAGTTTCTACCATGTGTGATGACTTTGATGCTCTTATAAAATCCCTTGAGAAGGTTTCCTTAAAGAAGTGCACCAGAGTGACTCAGTATTTACTAGGTAGAGTTAGTTCTTATCTTTGAACCACAGATATGAGGCCATGCTTCATTCTAGATGGCATATGAGTGAAAAAGTTCTGATGTTTGTCTATAATAAACCAACTCAAAATCTTGAAAATTATTGCATTTTTACTAGGCAATCTGTATTTTCCAAATCAGCTTTTGCACCTTGCAGGAAACACCAAAACCATTTATCGAGTTGTATTTCCTAACTTTAGCCATGCATACATGTGTGTGCACATACACAATACATGCAAATATAATATATTTATACAAGTTTATAATCATCTTGTTGTATTCTTATTTAGCCATAGAACTTCATCTGTACCACAGTTTTACATTCCTGGCTTAGGGTACTACTGTATGTGCATTTTAATTTGTCTGTGAAACACTGCATAGAGTGCAGTGTGTGTGTGTGCCTCTTCTAGGAGGTATTATTTGTATTTTGTGCCTATATGAAATGCATATGGGATTCTAAAGAGAACATTCTTAGTCTCCAATTTCTCCTCATTTGGGGAATTTATCAAGATAGTGCTATTGTCTACTTTGAGATTGGAAGAGAGTTGGGAACAGTGTGATTTATAGTTGAAACATTGATGTAAATCTTGGTTCTGTTGTTTGCTAGTTGTATAACTTTGGGTAAAAATTACAACCACTTGGAAGCTGAGTCCCTTCATTTATAAGATGTGGCTAATAATTTTTCCTCCTTAAGGTTGTTGAGAAGACTAAACATATGTAGATATTGCTTCACATAGTATCTGGCATGTAGCAGGCATTATTATTAATATAATAAAAGGTCTGAAATGGAAGGAGTCTTAGAGTTAATAATGTTGACCAACCTTCTCCTTCTGCAGATGAAGACTCTGAAGCCCAGAGGGATGAAATAACTTAGCTAGAGTTTTAATATAACTAGTGATAGAGTTGAAATGGCCTCCAAATAGCTAGATTCCCATGAAATTCCAAGGAAAAGATGTCAGTTGTATTTGTCAGTGGGCAGAAGAATCTATCTGTGCAATAGTGAAAAATGAAAGGCTCCTCTCTTTGTACTTCCTGAATTGAAAGAAAATTTGGTAATATAAGCAAAGCTTCTAAAATCAGACATCTTTTGAATTTTGGAGTATATATTTGCTACTTGATGTCTCAGGTCTGTTTCTAGGATTTCCATTTAATAAGTCAATTTGGGAATTTTAGAAAGCCTGATTTTATTTTTATTAAAGAATGCATTTATTGGAGTATAATTTTTACATACTATGAAATTCACCTCTTTTAAGTGTACAATTCAATGATTTTTAGTAAACACTATAAAGTGCTACTTATCATCACAATCCAGTTTTCGAACACTTTCATCGCCTCAAGAAGATTCCTCATACCTGTTCGTGGTTTATATATGTAACCCATAAACCCTGGATGATCACTGATTTACTTTCTGCTTCTATCCATTTGCTTTTCTGGGCAGTTCATACAAATGAATTTATCCAATATGTGCCTTTTGTGGCTGGCTTGTTTCATTTAGTGTAATGAGGCTCATTTGTATAGTGGCAAGCTTATTGTTTTGCTTCTTTTTATTGCTGTATCTTGGTTGACTTTTGATATCAGTTCTATTGACGTGACAGGAAAATGGGGGGCAAGAAATGATTTCATCCTCTCCAATTTTGCCACCTGGGAAGCCTGATTCCATGGAATTGCCCCCGGAGCAGCTTCCCATAGGGAAGTCACCAAGGTTGAGTCCTCTGGCCCTCTTCCCAGGCTGTGGGGAGGAAATGTTTACATTCTTGTCTCTGATGACTATGCCACTAAATGGTTGGAAAATTGCCCAAGTAGGAGGCAGCAGTTCAGATTCCAGGAGGTGAATAACAGCCTTGAAGTGCACATTAGTGAGGGCAGTGACACACCTGCCATTGAGCTTAGGAGTTTGGGGAAAGGAGTGAGTCCTCATGGGGAGGTGATGGAAGGGGTGTGTAAGTGTCACAGCTAGGGGTGACCCCGGTAGGGAGCAGGTGTGTTTTCTTGATTTGCTGGTTGTGAGAGCAAGGTAGTATGTGGTAGTGTTCCACAAGCAGGTTTGGAAATCAGGCCGAAGTTGGTTGACATTGTGACTTTGGGCTAATTGTGAAGCCTCCTAAATCCTGGGTTTCTTAATGTATATAGTCCTTACCTTGTAGAGTTGTGAGAACTAAATGAGATGATGCAGACAAAATGCTTAGTAGAATCTCTGGCAACTAGAAAATTTTTAGTAGGTGTTAACTATTAATTTCTCACTTCTTGACAATAGAAAGTCTTACGTAATCTTGTGTTTTTGTTGGCTCCCTCCTTAAGTGTCTTTAAATGAAGATTAATTATCTAGAAAGACTAAAGTACTACATTTCTAACATAATAAAAATATGCAAGGAATTAATGGAAATGGTGTTTCCTCTTAGAAATAAAAACTAATTTACTTTATTTTCCCCTTCCCTTTCCCTGCCCTTGTTTTCCGTCTTTTCTTCCTTCATTCCTCATAACTTAATTCATACTCTAATTCCAATTACTAGTATTTATGTTGCTCATTATAGGTTATGAAGTGTTTTTTTTTTTTTCATAGCCTTACTGCATTTGATCCTCATAGCAGTTCTGGAGAGAGCTGCCATTATTATTCTCATTTTAGATATGGAGATAATGGGACCTGGCAAAGTCACACTGCTCATAAATGGTGGGCATCACCTGCATTATTAGATATTGGGAATTAGAGACTGTATTAGTTTCTTAGGGCTGCTGTAACAAGTGACCACAACCAGGTGGCTTAACAAACATAAATTTATTCTCTCATATTTCTCAGAGGCTGGAAGTTTGAAATCAGGGTGTTGGCAGGGTTGGCTCCTTCTGGAGATTCTGAGGCAGAATCTGTTCCTTGCCTCTCTCCCAGCTTCTGTTGATTGCTGGAAACCCGTGGCATTTTTTGGCTTTTAACTGCATCCCTCCCATCTGTGCCTCTGTCTTCATATAACATTGTTCCTTGTGTGTGTGTGTCTGCTATGTTTCCCTGAATATTCCTTTCCTTTTTTTAAAACATAGAAGCATCATTAATTGGGAAGATATGAAGGAAACATTTCCATAATTGAAGGATCTTACAGATTAATTGCAAGAGTAGAAAGTGGTAGAGTTGTGTGGAGGCTGACGTGGGAGGATCACTTGAGACCAGGAGTTTGAGACCAGCCTGGGCAACACAGAGAGACCCCATCTCTACAAAAAATTTAAACAAATTAGCTCAGTGTGGTGGTGCATGCCTGTAGTCCTAGATACTCAGGAGGATGAGGCAAGAGGATCACTTGAGCCCAGGAGTTCAAGGATACAGTGGGCTATAATCATGCCACTATATTCCAGCCTGGGTGATAGAGTGAAACCCTGTCTCAAAATAAAAGAAAATGGCAGTCGCCAAGCAATGCAGAAGCTTTTAGTGACTTGGCTTATAAACCACTGAGTAGTGACCTTTGGTGAGGGAGAATCAGAAGGGCTGGAAAGGACAGACTGGCATGTGGAGATGCTGGAGCTTGTGCTTGGCTTCCTTAAATAAGAACAAAATTTGACCTCCCAAAGCCAAATCCTTTGAACCCAGAAGATGGCATTAGCTGTCTGATGAAGTGAGGGGCAAAGTCTAAAGGCCAACACAGACATAATACATAAAGGCAAAACTCCAATCAAATATCACCTAAAGAAGGGTATATGAAATGAATAGGGAAAGAATATTAACTAGTAGCATTTTACAGGAATGCTTGGCAGTAAAACCTTAAAAAGTGAATGGGCTGAGTGGCAACAGAGAGGGAAGATGGAAGTCAGACTGCCCCTCTATTGTTGAATGAGAAACCCAGGGAATAAAATGGGTCTGGGGAGCTTTATAAAGAAAGTAGTGCTAGGTAAACTTTTTGTTTTGTTTTTGAGTAAAGTGAAAGCAAGTTTATTAAGAAAGTAAAGAAATAAAGAATGGCTAGTCTCCACAGACAGAGCCTATGGTTGCCCATTTTTATGGTTATTTATTGATTATATGCTAACAAGGAGTGGATTATTTATGACTCCCCTTTTTAGATCATATAGGGTAACTTCCTGACATTGCCATGGCATCTGTAAACTGTCATGATGCTGGTGTGAGTGTAGCAGCGAGGACGACCAGAGATCACTCTCATTGCCATCTTGGTTTTGGTGGCTTTTGGCTGGCTTCTTTACTGCAACCTGCTTTATCAGCAAGGTCTTTATAACCTATATCTTGTGATGACCTTCTATCTCATCTTGTGATTAAGAATGCTTTAACCTCTTGGGAATACAGCCCAGTAGCTCTCAGCCTTATTTTACCAAGGCCCTACTCAAGATGGAGTTGTTCTGGTTGAAATACTTCTGATATTTCCCCCCTCCCTTTTATAAGAGAACCCTGAATCCTAAAGGTTGTAGAGGGATGAAGATCCATCTTCTGTAACTTCTTGAGGTTGAATAGGGGCGATGATGTTCCTGCCTATTAGGGTCTCTTGTATTCCAGGTAAAGAGGAGCGCAGTCAGAAAGCATTGGTATGGTGAGAGCCACTCATAACTCTTGAGTTCCTACAAAAGGTGATATATGGAAGATTAATAAGTGTTTAATTTAAGAAAACATCCAGTAAGATTACTCTGCTCTTTAGTTCTGTGAGAAGAATACACAAGGCTCACTGGATCCCAAGGAAACTGTCTAAGAGAGCAGGGACTATATCTGCCATGTTCGTGGCTATGTTTCTCATGTAGGATAGTGTCAGAAATTTGCAACTGCTCAGTAAAAGTTTTAAGGGGAGAACGTAAAGGGAAATTCAGAGGTTCTAGCACATCCTGGAGGTAGGAAGGAGTAGGGTGGGTTAGTGTGCAGTTGGACCTCTACCATACGTGGGTTGGAGGATGCTCTTCATCTGGGCCTGAATTCCCAATCAGCACACTCAAATCCGCTAGGTGTGCTGGACAGGGGCTAGCCTGCCTCATCTTTGCTGGTCACGGCAAAATTCCAGAGCTGCTCCATTTGACATGTTTTCAGCACATAGCTCTGTCTGCACTGGACACTCGGTTGCCAGCTCTGCTTCTCTTTCTCCTGTCTGCCCACATGTTGCCCTTTGCATTAGACTCATGGTTTGCTTCCCAGATGGAATTTACCTCCCTCTACTCTGCTTCAGCCTTGCATACTTAAGAGTCTTGAACCCACTCAGGCTACAGACACCATACCTCAATAGTATCTTTACCTGGATATCCCTGGACATGGGTGGGATACAAGCCCATATAATAGAGGGTTAGACACATGAACCTGTTTTAAAGGGAAGAAAAAAGAGGAAGCCATTGAGTTTTGTTTTGGGAAAATTAGTCTGTGTGTTTAAAAGATCAGTATTGATTAGTAGGGTTTTCTATTTGTCATCTCTTCCATACTGAAATAATGTGGTATCATTGATACCGAAAATGTAATCCTTAAGAGCACCATAGGACTTGAGTTTTATTTTTAAAATGACTACTACATAGCAAATTATTCATTTAATAATTTTTCTATATCTGCAACGTGCCAGGCTTCACACAAGTGAATACAGAGGTAAGGACACGGATTCTGTGGGGACTCCTCTTCCCCACGAATCGAATAGATTGTGGAGACTCACAAACTGTGTATACCTAACTAAAATATAAAACAAAACCATGGAAAAGGAGGGTAGAGATATCACTCCCAGTGGGAGATTCTCAAGCTGCGTTTAAATCTAGCAGCATTGTGGCTTGCCTAGTGGGTTGACCCAAAGGATGTTTGAGCAAGGAGTCGAGTTCTATTGTCTAGAATTTTAGATCAAAGCCTGCTTTCTGCCTGGCCCACGAGTGTGGCTTGCAGTGGAAGTGCCTGCCTATATCTCCAGACAGCTGTTTTTCCAATTTGCCCAGATGATCAGTGGAAGCATGCAGTTGGCTCTTCCGTAATTAATCTAGCTGATGGTTCCTCAAGTCACTCCTGCCAGCAAAAGACTCCATCAACAAGAGCCCAATAGGACACGGCCATGTGTCACCCCCTGTCCATGCAGAAGATCTTATTTATAAACGGTCATACATCTCTGATGGACATTTCTCTCATCTAAAAGCAAGGAGGAGAAGGGCCTTTTGCAGATTTTCAATCCCTGAAACCACCAAATGAGACTTGGAAGAGACTCATTAAGCTGTGTAATTTGTCCTCAGGGCCCATCTGAGGGTTTCTTCCCATACATTTGTTCCTTCTCTGCTTGCTGAGTTCCAAGAGGCGAAAACCCAGAGCTCTCTCTGTCTCTGGTGTTTCCTCATGCTCATTTCCTTTTTCCTTTGGCTCTTTAGGCATTTACTTTGTTTCTTCCTTTCTTTCCTTTTTTCCTTTTCTTTTCTTTCTTTCAATAGTGTTTTGGCTTGTCACCCAGGCTAGAATACCATGGTGCAATCAGGGCTCACTGCAGCCTGAAATTCCTGGGCTCATGTGATCCTCCCAACTCAGCTTCCCAAGTAGCTGGGATTACAGGGACGTGCCACCATACCCAGCTAATTTTAAAAAATTGTTGTAGAGTCAGGGTCTCATTGCATTGCCCAGGCTGGTCTTGAACTCCTGGGCTCAAGTAATCTTCCTTGCCTTGACCTCCCAGAGTGCTGAGATTATAGGTGTGAACCATCACACCTGTCCTTAATTCATTTCTATATCACATATGGAATATCTGTTATTTGTTCAGCAGTTAGGAAGGTGAGCTAAGACACAGTGCCTGTTCTCACACTGATCACATTATTTGGCATGAGGCAGAAATGTCTTTTTCTTTCCTTCTAGTACTACTGATATTTGGAAGGTCAAGAATATTACTTTTACAAACAAGCCTCTACCATCCAAAGGCTCCAATACTTACATAGATTTATAGTATGGCATTTGCATATATGTCCCTTAAAAAATCTTTTTCGAAACTATAAATATAATGTAATAAAACATAAGCTTTGGAATCAGAGCGATCTCAGGTTAAGCCATAAGGCCTGTATTTATTACTTGTGTGACCTTGACCTCTTTCAGCCTCATTTCCTTTAAGTATAAGATGATGGGGCTGTTGTGAGGATTCAACTAAAATAGCAGCATGAAGAAGCAAGGTAGGTGCTCAGAAATTGTCTATTCTCATCCCCCTCCTAGAAAAAGGAATGCTGTTTTGTTGATTTTGTTGTCCTTTTATTGCCTTCAGTCAAGCCTTACACATGAAAGATGCAGAATATAGTCCTTGTTGATTAAAACAAATGAGTAAATTGATGAATGAATAATAATTAAAGTCTGTCTCCTTTAAGGGCAGGGCAAAAGGAGAAGTATAATTAGGCACAGGAGGACAGGTAGAATGAAGCACTAAAGTAAGGCTTTATACTGTGAGGTCTTGCAAACCCCACCACTGTGTATGAGCTTGAAGGATACTGAGTCTGGAGGATCCAGATCTGGAACAATGACATAGCACTGCTCCTCTGGCTACCAGAGAGCCACTCCTAGAGCCTTCTAGGACAAGATCTATTAAGCCGTGAAGTGGGCAATTTGACCTCAAGCCTTTGTCTAAGGCTCCAGCTCCTTTAATCTGCTCCCTGGATGCCTCCCACGTCTTTCTGATTAACCTCACTGCTCTTTGCATTGTATCTCTTCTTTTAGGATGTCCTTAAACCCAGGCAAGAGGGTCATCTGCCATGGAAACTGCACATGAGAGAGATCCACAAGTTACAAACGTGCAAAAAAAATGTAAATATTTTAAAGACATCTGCTTACCTCTGACATTAAGGGTCCAGCGTGACCTATAATTCTAAACACCTACTGTTTTGATGATCACTGTTCAGGCCCTAGGAGAAAAGTATCTCTACATCTCTTGTACCATATCTTTAAAACAAAGGGGACTGCAAAGAAATCTTTGAAGGTTTATTAGTTGTGATATACCTGGTGTCATAGACAATTTCTGTTTTGGCATGCAAGAAGGATTTGAGCGGAGGTGCTTAGGTAAGAGAAAAGATAAATTAATTTGTCAAATCCTTTCTCTCAGACAGCATGAATGTAATAAATTTTTGCATAATGAACTATCGTTTCCCAAGAGTGCCAAGCATCCGTTTTCTTCTCCTTCTGTTCTAATCTGTAGATCCAGAAGTATTCAAGGATTAACACATTTTCTTCAGTTACACACAATGGAAAAGGAATACTCTCAATATTGAACAATTTATATTTTAAAGTTAACTTACATATTATGAGTATAAAGCTGGATAGTAATTCTTTACATTATTCTATGGGTCTAAACATTGCTTTAAGTGACAGTGAAAATCATGATGTTAGTCACAGTGAGTTGTGTATTGGCATTAAAATATTTTATAGTATATTTGCCATGTGATTTATCCCTTTGGACTGTACAATAATAAACATTATTTGAACAATTTATCATTCAATTCCAAATCTAGGCATCACTTTGAAATAGGAAATTTCAGTTACCAAGTGCAAGGTTAGCACCTCATGACCCTGAGAGTGACTGCTGCCTTCAATTTTGCACCCAAGGTGCCTTGTTACCTCATGTTAGTCCTAGCAGCCCTGCTTTAAAGGGCCAGCTAGTAAACATTTCCTCCTTTGCAGGCCACACAGGCCCATCAAAACTACTCAGTTCTGCCAATGTAGCACAGAAGCACCCACAGACAATACATAAGAGAATGGGCATGGCTGTGTTGCAATAAAACTTCCTTTTCAAAAACAGGCAACTGGCCCGATTTGGCCCCAAGTGATAGTTTGCTGTCCCCGGTGTAAACAACAAAGTTAATTCTTTTTCCTGCCACCTATCCATTGTGGATCACTGTGGTTTATTCTCCACATTTCTTTCTGAACCCCAAGTGGATAGAGCTGTCATCATCTTGAGTATTGGTTGATGTTGTGCAAGAGAAAGAAAAGGCTTTTCACTTGCCTTAGCAATTAAGGGCTCAGAGACAGAAGGGACACATTATTTTAGCTCATGATTCATTGGCTAGAATTAGTCATAGGACCACACCTTACCATAAAGCGGCAATGAGAGCTGTGATAAAGGTTCAGATTAGGTGTTGAAAGAATACAGTGGGCCGGGTGCAGTCGCTCACACCTGTAATCCTAGCACTTTGGGAACCGAGGCGGGTGGATTACTTTAGGTCAGGAGTTTGAGATCAACCTGGCCAACATTGTAAAACCCCTTCTCTACTAAAAGTACAAAAAAATTAGCTGGGCATGGTGGCGGGCGCCTGTAATCCCAGCTACCTGGGAGGCTGAGGCAGGAGAATCACTTGAACCCAGGAAGCGGAGGTTGCAGTCAGCTGAGATCATGCTACTGCACTACAGCCTGAGCAACAGAGCAAGACTCCATCTCAAAAACAAAAACAAAAACAAACAAAAAAGAGGGTGGGCGCAGTGGCTCATGCCTGTAATCCTAGCATTTTAGGAGGCCGAGGCTGGCAGATCACGAGCTCAGGAGATAGAAACCATCCTGGCTAACGTGGTGAAACCCCGTCTCTACTAAAAATACAAAAAATTAGCTGGGCGTGGTGGTGGGTGCCTGCAGTCCCAGCTACTTGGGAGGCTGAGACAGGAGAATGGCGTGAACCTGGAAGGTGGAGCTTGCAGTGAGCCGAGATCGTGCCACTGCACTCCAGCCTGGGCGACAGAGGGAGAGACTGTCTCAAAGAAAAAAAAAAAGAAAAGAAAAGAAAAGAAAGAATATAGTGGAAGAAGATATAAAATCTGATTAGTGAGTTTACAGAATTGGTATTTGTTCTGGGCTTCCAAACATGAATGTGTTCCACAGATCTATTTTGATATTAATTTAGCAAAGACAGTAGAATTTATTTTCTAGATATGTTTTAATTAGAGTTAATAAAAGGTATATTTTCATGTTTTTATTTATTAATTTTTTCACTTTTAGTTTCAGGGGTACATGTGCAGATTTCTGCATAGGTAAATTGCATGTCATGGGGGTTTTGTGGACAGATTATTTTGCTACCCAGGTAGTAAGCATGGTACCCCATAAGGCAATTTCTCCAACCTCACTCTTCTCCCTCTCTCCACCTTCAAGTAGGCCCTGGTGTCTGTTGCTTCCTTCTTTGTATCCATCCATATTTACTCAGTATTTAATTCCTGCTTATAAGTGAGAACATGTGGTGTTTAGTTTTCTGTTTCTATGTTAGTTCAGTTAGGATAAATGGCCTCCAGATCCTGCTGCAAAGGATGTGATCTTGTTCTTTTTTATGGCTACATAGTATTCTGTGGTGTATATGTACCACATTTTTTAAATCTAGTCTATCATTGATGGGTTTAGTTTGATTCCACATCTTTGCTATTGCAAATAGTGCTGCAGTGGTGTGTCTTTATGGTAGAATAATTTATATTATTTTGGGTTTATACCCAACAATGGGATTTTTGGGTCAAATGGTAGTTCTGTTTTGAGTTTTTTGAGAAATTGCCAAAATGCCTTCCACAATGGCTGAACTAATTTACTTTTCCACCAGTGGTGTATAAGCATTCCCTTTTCTCTGCAACCTTGCCAGCATCTATTATTTTTTGACTTTTCAATAATAGCCATCCTGACTAGTGTGAGATGGTATCTCATTGTGGTTGTGATTTTTATTTCTCTAATGATAAGTGATGTTGAGCATTTTTTAAATATAATTGTTGGCCACATGTATGTCTTCTTTTGAGAAGAGTCTGCTCATGTCCTTTGCCTGCTTTTTAATGAGGTTGTTTTTTTTCTTGTTTATTTCTTTAATTTCCTATGGATTCTGGATATTAGACCTTTGCCAGAGGTAAGTTTGCAAATATTTTCTCCTATTCTGCAGGTTGTCTGTTTACTCTGTTGATAGTTTCTTTCAATGTGCAGAAGCTAAGCTATGTTTTTTTATGCTAAGTTGGTTTAGTGTAGACAGAGAATATTTGGGTGCTGCATATCTATTCATTTTGAAAATTTGTCTTCTAACAGTGTTATAACATTTAAAGTAATTACTAAAATGGATGATAGATTATCTCGCTAGCTGTTTTCTATTTGTTTCATGTTGAGGATCTTTTGTTCTCTTTTCTTTTGCCTGTTTTTGGATTGATTATTTTTTATAACCCTTTTATCTTCAATATTAGCTTATAATTCACACCTGTTTCAAAAAATTTTGCTGTTTTTTTCCTGGGGTTTGTAGCATATCAATTTAATTATTTGCATCTTATATTCCAGTATTATTATAATACTTCACATATATAATAACTTTAACTTGTTTCCAATTGCCCACTTTTAAAGTTTTTGCTATTCTTATGATGCATTTTATTTTCATATATTCCATATATCCAAAATACATTGCTATTTTTTTTTTTGCCTTAGTCAATTATCTTTTAGAGTGATTAAACATAGGGAAAAGCTTCTTTTAAAATATTTACATTTTTTTCTGTTATAAATAAATCAGAGTCTCTGTAGTGTAGATATGCTAATAATAAATTCTCTAAAATTGGCCAGGCGCGGTGGCTCATGCCTGTAATCCCAGCACTTTGGGAGGCCAAGGCAGGCAGATCACGAGGTCAAGAGATCGAGACCATCCTGGCCAACGTGGTGAAACCCCATCTCTACTAAAAATACAAAAAATCAGCTGGGCATGGTGGCAGGCACATGTAATCCCAGCTACTTGGGAAGCTGAGGCAGGAGAATCTCTTGAACCCGGGAGGCGGAGGTTGCAGCGAGCCAAGATTGCGCCATTGTGCTCCAGCCTGGACAACAAGAGTGAAACTCCATCTCAAAAAATAAATAAATAAAATAAAAATCAATTAATTAATTAATTCTCTAAAATTTTGTCTTAAAAAAGGGCAATTTATTTTTGAAAGGTATTTTCACTGTTCGGAATTCTCTCAGCACTTTAAAGAAGTCATTACATTGTCTCATGAAGTTTGCTACATTCTTATACTTCTTTCTTTTCTGTTTTTTATTCTGCTTGCCTTTAATATTTTCTTTTTATCGTTGTTTTCTTCAGCTTAAATATGAAGACTTTAAGTTTTTGCTTGTTTGTTTTTGTATTTATCTGGCTTGTGGTTCTCTGAGATTCTAGAATATGTTTAACCATGACTCCTTCACATATTTCTCTCCATTTTCTTTCTCTTCTTCTCCTGGGATTCTAATTGCACATGTGAATGTTGGATTTTGTTCCTCAGCACTTAGATACTGTATTCTGTTTTCCCCAATACCACATTGTCTTTCTTTTTCAGTTTGTGTAGCATCTACTGAGCTTATAGTTCCGGGTTCACTCCTTCTTTCCTTTGTTGTGTTGTCTGCTGGGGAGCCTGTGGAAGGCACTCTTAAGCTTTGCTACTGTGTGTTGTTTTTATGCCTAGCATTTTCATTTTAGTCTTTATTATAGTTCCGTCTCTGCTAAAATTTTCCATTTATTCGTACATGTCATCCGTCTTTTCCACTAACATAATAATAGTTAATTATATCAATAATTATTCTTTTAAATTTCATATCTGATGGTTCCAACATCTGGGTCATCTCTGAATCTGATTCTTCTAATTTCCTTTTTTCTTAATAGAAGGCTGTTTGTCCTTGCTTTTTTGTGTGTATTATTTTTTATTGAACGCTGGTATTTTGTGTAGAACAATAGAGACAGGGGTAAGAAATATATATTTCTGGGCTGGCCACAGTGGCTCACACCTGGAATCCCAGTGCTTTGAGAGGCTGCAATGAGCTGCGATTGTGCCGCTGCACTATTGCCTGCATGACAGAGAGAGATGCTGTCTTTAAACAATAAAAATAAATATGTATTCCTGAGCTGGGCATATCTCTTCTTCTGCTCAGCTGTTATTGCGGAATGTTTACTAAATTTAGTTGGTAGTTGAGCTAGATTTAGATTTTGTTGTTATGCTTACCTTCAGTATACCACTGAATTTAAATTTTTCAATCTTTGCTTTGTACTTAGGCTGGAGGCTGCTCTGCTGGAAGATTTTCCCTCAATGTTCCTGATTAACCCTCAGCTTTAGGCCTCCCTTGTTCTCTTTCCCCACGTAGAAGAGCTCTGTATTCTCCTGAGCTCCCTCTATAGTAGGCTGCTGCTGGTTGTGACTTTGTGCTCACTGGCCCGATGATTAGGGCCAGAAGGCTTCTTGGTTATCCAGCCTCAGCCTCAGTCAGGTCTTGTGTTCCTGGGTCTCTGGAGAATGCCTTTCCCAGTGATCTTGCCTCTCTCAAACAGATAGGAGATCAATGATCAGAACCTAGGATGGTTTCTTGTCTTTTACCCATTCTATACTTTACCTGCAGCTGCTAGAAATGTTCCAGTGTCCTGAGACCACAGTATTTGACGCTCTTCCCACAGCAGCTTAAACCTTTAGTTTTTGAGGGGAAAAGAACCCAAGAAGGAATTTTCTTCCTTTCCCACATCACTGGTCTCTACTCTCCCAAAGATTCACACTGCTGATGAAAGTTTTCTCTGGTTTCCTGCCTCTGGCATTTTCATGAGCCCCCACTGGAGACCTATAAAGAAAAGTCAGCAAGTGAATGATAACTCACTTTGTGTTTGTGACTCTCCACAACCAGTGTGTCTATACCCTCACACTATTCCACATTCACATCCAGCAGTTCATTGAAAGTTTTAACCAATGTTTTAAAATATCCATTTGTGTGGTGGCCCCATCTTCCTCTGTGCTCTGCTGTAGGTGAGCCAGCATCCAACTTTGCTGGTAGACAGGACAGCTGGTTGCCCTGTAACCTAAGCTCTTTGATGGGTTCAGGAAACTTTATGCTTTTTCTAGACTATAAATGGCTGTTTTTGTTTGGGAAGAGTAATGCTCTTCCTAACTTTACATACCCAAGGCAGAAGTCAGAAATCTGTGTTGTTTTGGAATGACCTCTTTTCTCCATGAGGATTATGTTCCGCTTTATACACATGGGCCAACACTGGTTGAGAATGAGATCATTTTCTATGGCTTTCCTAGAACATCTAGTTTATACACGAACCGAGCTATAATTATGCTGTGAATTTATGTGAAATTGCTTTGTCAAATTATCTTTAAGCAAATTTGATTGAGCACTCTTATGTAGTTAAAACAAAAGCTTCCTCCTTAGATGTCTAAAAACTTAGGTCATGATCCTGTCTCTGTCATTTTATGGCTTAGTGATCTTTGAGCAAGTCACTGGACCTCTTTGGCTTTCAACTTTCTGTAAAATGAGGATGCTGAACTAGTAGTTTCTGTGGCCCACAAATTACTCTAAGGTCAATGATGCTGTGTAAATTTTCTTTTATCCATATAATTACAGTACAGGTGTTATTCTCATTTTACAAAGAAACGATTTTTTAAAAAGCCAATATTATACACTTTGGCATTAGATTCTAAGTATAGCAGAATGCTGAATTGTCAAACTTGATTTTGTTCTCGAAGAAGGGTTGGGTTAAACCAAAACACAGAGCAGGTGGTATATTTTCAGCACCTGGAATTTCAACCCAAAGTTTTATTCTCTCTCTTCTGCAGAAGGCCTAATTCAGCTACCCTTAAATATGGTGTATAAGTTACATGCTATCGAGTATGTAGTCAAATTATTATAATAACAGTGTGTGTGAGAGAAAGAGAGAGATGAAGGCTATTAATGAGTTATAGATTGGGTACATTTGAGGACTTAAAGAGTTGGAATAAGATCTCAGGTCTTTCCATTTTAATACCAGTGTCCTTTTTACTAGGGCATGTTCCCTAAGTGGGGGTTTCTACTACCACCACTGAGCTGTCTTTAAAAATCAGAGCCCTGTGACTCAGAAAGTTTCTAAATGTTGGAGTATTTGTCTCTATAGCCATCTTCGTTACAGAGCAGGATATTCAGCACTGAATCAACTCCCCTGTTTGGAATCACATTTCAAAGAAAATAGACCATAGAGATATGATTTGTCCCCTCTTTCATTCAGTGGTTCAGAATAAGAAAGGTCATCTCACTGGCTACATAGTAAGTGTGTGGAAGTGTGAGTGAGTGTGTTGGTAAAAGCCACAATGTTGACTTCATATGGGCATTCATTCTCATCTCCATCTCAACCTGTACAAAATTTATACATCCTTCAATGTCCAATTCAAATCTTACCTTATTGTAAAAAAGCTTTCTTGACCTATTCTAGAACTAATAAAAATTTAGTTCTATTTCTTAACTCCTATAATATATATTATTCAAATGGTTTAGTATGATAAATTAGTAGAAATTGACCTGTTAAGGAATTTCATATTTCTACCTTTACATCCTCAGCAAATGAATGTTAGGAACATAGGAAGGACTCAGTAAATAATTTCTGAAGCTTACTTTTGTTGAGATTTTTAATCTTGAAGATAAGAACAATACCTTCTTCTTTATATTATATTTAAATAAATATCTATTGACCAATAACTATGTTACATCAATTTTCCTAGATAGTAGCGATACAGAACTCAATGAAATAGGCAAATTCCTGTCCTCAAGGAGCTGAAGAGACATGGTAAGAGCATTGAAATGGTGATATAGTTTCTGAAGAAAAATTAAACAGGGTGAGTGACAGGTCTAGACAATGACTGGAGCAGGAGTTTCTTATTTTGTACAAGAAAGCTTCTATGACTACGTGACATTTGAGTAGAGAGCTGATGAAAATGAAGGAGCAAGACACATGAAGATCTCTGGAAAATAGTTCCCATGGTAATATTGCACAGTTGTGTGTAAAATATGATAAAATATTGCATTATATTGAATCCACGTATATTAATGGATTAGAAAAGGTTGAGGTGATTGTGTTATCTCTGTTTTCTCTGGATTAGGGATTTGAGATAATGTGTCGTAGGAAATCTGCTTTTCCTATTTCTAGAAACCAGAGACAATAGGCATGGAGAATTTGTTTCTTAGTACACTGATCATATTAATAGTACTTCTAGTGAGCAAGCCATTTTTTCCCCAAAGAATGCGTTTACCTGAGATATAATGAGAGAGTTCCTGTCACAACAAATTCAAATGGAAACAGTAGTAGAATGAGAGAAAGGCTCAGTCTAGAATAGATCATATACGAGGTGGACAGTGTCACTGCAGAAAGCAAAATAAGCAGAAGGCTTGCTTTAAAGCCTAAAACCATAAAATAGAAAGATTCAAACAGAACCAGTGGGGTCAAAGATATGATAGCTAATTTATCAGAAAAACTAGAATTCAAGGCTATGGGAGTCATTACAGAGTAAAGCAATTGAAGAGAACCAATCACCACAATGGGGACAATAACATGAAAGGCAAAGCTGGACCTAGTTCTCTTGGGCCAGCACACTGTCAGTTGTTGCACTAGTTCCCTGAATTAAGAGGGCTTTTGGCAAATTTAATTGCAGATATAGTAATATAAGCTATTTTAGTTATGAATGTTTTATGTTCATATTTTATTATCATTTCATTAAGGAAATAGAGAGTAGCTTGTTTAGCAGTTAAGAGCACTGACTCCGGAGCCAGACTGCCTGTGTTGGAAGCTTAGTTCTTCCCCTAGTTAGTTATGTGACCTTGGCAAGTTACTCCATCTCTCTGTGCCTCAGTTTCTCCATCTGTAAAATGGAATTAGTATAGCACATTATCTCCCATGTTTGTAATAGAGGATTAAATTATCTAAAGTAGCTAAAGCACTTAGATAGTATTATTTGTATTAATCCCTTGTGATTATGGTCCAGTTTAGGAAGCTTAGCATGATACTGGCCAGCATGAAACCTAAGTCTGCATGCGATTTTATTAACCTAGTTTTCTACATTGATATCCAGGCAAAGAATGACAGGCTGCTTGAATCTACCTGTTCATAATGACTGAATACAAAGTGGATTGAGTTATAACCATTTTTTTTTTTTACTTAAAGAGGAATGACTACAATTGCACAATTATAATTTCATCATTAGTCACTAAAATATATTAGCAGTCTCCAGCTGCCTGAAACTTGGAATGATAAAGGTGTTACCAAAAATAATATAAGCCCTACCAGGACAGGTATTATGTCTATCTTGGTTGCCATTAGCTCAGCACCTAGCACAGTGTCAGGTTCCGAACTTAAATATTTGTTAAAATAATTAATTCATTGTGTATTTTAACCAATATATTAAAACTTAGAAGTCCAAAAGTCATCTCTAACAGAAGCTATATGTGACCCCAATCATGTAAGAATGACCCTTAAAGCCAGATTTCAAAGCAGAATACAAAACCAGCCACATTTATATCAAGAAAAGCTATCATACACAAGTGCTGTCACCTGATTTGGATTATTAATCTTATTCACTATACTTGAATTATTATAACTAAATGGATGTTTTTAAGAAACTAAATTACCCCTCAAATATCAGAATTGATTATCTGATGGGTTCTTTAAGCAAATGTGTTTTGGGCAGTGAAAGACTTCTAAATGAGATCTTACAGAGCTGGAATTTAAACACTGGAGGAAAGAGGGTGCAGGCTTTTACAGGAGCTAATTTGAAAGTTTGGAAGCAAGGATGGTATTTTGGATATGCGATTTTAGAATGTTTAAGAGATTGACCATGCTATTGTGACGCCTTACACTGCATTTCTGAGGAGAATAACTGAGAAGAGGTGTGAGTTTTGAGCAAATGAGTGATTTTTACATAAAGCTCGGAAAACACTGGGGCCCTTAAATATGATAGTATTTGTGAATATTGGTGAATTAAACTTTTTTAAGTGGGTACATTATAACAGATGGAATTATCTTTTAAAATATATCCTAGGCATTATTTGAGAATGAAAAATTTTATTTCCAGCTTAGTTCCCTGTTTCAAGATTGAGATAATTTATGAATGAAGGCTCTATGTTCAGTTATATTAGCCCTTGGTAGATTGGTGGTCTGGTCCATTCTCAGGAATTAAATCAATTCAATTTTGTAGTGCTGATGACCAGATTGATTAGACAGTATATGATCAGGTCAAATAGAAATTACCACTTGGAATCAACCAATACGAGTGATTAAAAATGGAATTGACCTCAAAATGTTTAATATAGTGCCCACTATAGATAGAGACTTCAATAATTATTATCTAGGGCAGAAGTTCCAAACTTTGGGTGCACCTGACTCACCTGGAGGGCTTGTTGAAGCACTTTGCTGGACTCACCCACAGAATGTATGAGGCTAGAAAATTTAAGCTTCTAACTAGTTTCCAAATGACCCTGAGGTTACCCCCTGAGGATCACTGCTCTAGAGAGTAAGCTTTATGTTAGTTGAGTTTAACATATCAAACAGACACAGGTTATAACAATTATTTTTTAGGCAAGAGATTAGTGCTATAGTTATATTTAGATATAGAATGAGGGCTAGGGAATATGCAATATTCACACCCTAATATATTCAATATAGGTAGCATATTTTTTTCAGCAATTATACCCCAAACTCTTATTCCATAATCAGAAATTTCTGTTGACTGAACGTAAGATAGAGTACATTTCAAATAAGATGTTTCAGATGATGTAAGCTATTAGTAAAGAAGAATTCAGTTTTGGTGAAATAAATGAGCAATAGTAAGTATACACAATGAAATAATGCACGTGTTCATTTGAGAAAGTATTTGACTACACACACAACACCATGCTATCTACTGAGAAGATTTTGAAGGCTTGTAGGCCAGTCATTGTAATCAATCTAGAGGCCCGTGATCTAGTGAAGGGAACATGTTTCAGACATATGCACTGATCAGCAACACTACGGAGCCACACATTACTGGTGCCAGAATGGTTGGTGCCAAGGGTCCGTTTTACAGAATACCAAGGCAAGGGGATGTTGGGAACTTGAGTGACCAGGTCAGGCCTTGTGAAGGAACAGATGTTGGTTTTTACTCAATACTATTCACCAGTGATACCAAATTAAACCAGTAATTGAGGGGATTCTGCCTGAGCGACTTTTGCTTCTGTACGTTTTCTTCTGAGGAGTATTTCCAGATTTCCAGAGAAATGAAGCAGGTTAATTAAGATGCTAAGAGGCTGGCACAATTTCTGAGCGGATTAACGTCATGCAAAATTTCAGTGCAACTAACTGGTGTTTGTTCCTGCTTGCAAAAGCTGTGTTTGTACAACTGGGGCAGAGTCCAAAAGGACTGAAAGAAGTTAATTAGTTCAACTTGCCAAAGCCTTGTCATCTGGTTTCAGGACTAGGGAACAGGACAAACCCAATGAATATAAATCTGTACACATATGCAGAAGGTTGTGATTATGATTAATATAACTATTCATTTCCATGTTATCAAAGCTGTGGTTTAATAAATTGTTAGCTGAAAATGGAACACAGGTCAGGAGTTTTATGGTGAAAAAGTGAAGAATGGAAAATGTTTATACTGACATCAGTAGTTCTCTAGCCATGGTCCAGTGCCTTGAAAGTCACATGGGATGTTTGAAAACAATACATATTCCAGGCTATCACTGCTAGAGTTTTATTCAGAGTATATGGAATGTACTGGAAATCTGTATTTTTAACCAGTTCACCTAGTGATTTGGTTGCATGGCCAGGTTTGGAAAATATTGGTCAAGATATGCACAAAATATGTGCACAGAACACTCTGCTATGCACTGTACTCAAAGAGTGAAAATGGAAGTGGGACCAGTTGCTGTTACTATCAGTAACCTACTAGCAGAATTTTGGCTTCCTGTTTTCACAATTTTATGCTATCCTGGCCTAGAGGACTTTGTTCTAGAGGAAACTATTCTTCTACCAGGAGACACAATTCTTCCATTGAACTGGGTTAAGACTGTCACCCAGCCACTTAGGGTTCTATATGCCTCTGAGTCAACAGACAAATAAGGGAGTTATGGTACTGGCTGGGTTCAGACTGTTAAGGGGAAGACGGACTACTGCTCCACAAGAGAGGTGAGGAAGAGTTTATAATATGAGAGATTCCTTAGGGTATCTCTTAGTATGACCCTGTGATTAAGGTCAATGGAAAACTACAACAACCCAATCCACAAATAACTACTAATGGCCCAGACCCTTCAGAAATGAAGGTTTGTTCATTATGTATTATAAATTTAACATCATAGTTTTGAAGTTACAAGGTATCAGGAGAAGAGTAAAGATCACCCAAGAACTTCCTTCTCTTTTGGGGAAGGGATTAATGTATTTTTGGTTGTATGCAGGATGGTTGTGTCATATTAAGGTGGAATTATGACCTTGTCATTGCCTTTATTGAGAGACTAAGTATTGTTTAAGGAGATATGTATAGTGCCAGATTAACAAGAGGAAGACTCATGATGGTTAATTTTATGTGTCAACTTGTTTGTGCTAAGAGATGCCCAGACAGCTGGTAAAACATTATTTCTGGATGTGTCTGAGAGTGTTTCCAGAAAAAAATGAGCACTTGAATCTCTAGACTCAGTAAATAAGATTGCTCTCACCAATGTGGGTAGGCATTCTCCAATTCCTTGAGGGCCTAAAGAGAAGATGGATGGCCTATTTCAAGCAGTGAATTTGCTCTCTCTGCTTGAGATTAAACAACCATCTTCTCCTGCCCTCAGACATCAGTGTTCCTGGTTCTCAGGTATTTGGACTCAGAGTGAGACTTACACCATAAGCTCCTGTAATTCTCAGGCCTTTGGGCTTATATGGAACTATACCACTGGCTTTCCTAGACTTCTAGCTTGCAGATGGTAAATCATGGGACTTCTCAGCTTCTATAATTGTGTGGGCCAATCCCTCATAATATAGCTCTATATATCTGTATACCCTATTGGTTTTGTTTCTCTAGACAACCCTGACTAATACAGTTGCAAAGCCAATTTTGGAGAATATTGGTTGAGATATACGCAAAAGATGTACGCATAACATTGTGCTATGTCCTTAGAAGATTTAAAATACTTGTAGGTTAGTCCTCACCCAAAGCCCACAGTCTAGTAAAAGAAGCATGTTCCAGAGTATGGAGCAGTCAGCAACACTATGAAGCAATGGTTTACTGGGACCATATTGTCTGATACTGAGTTTCTATTTGGGAGAGGAAAATGTAATACTCCAGGAACTGATCATTGAGCAGTAGGTGACCAGTTTGTTTTCTAGTGATCACAGTCAAATGATGGCTAATCGGGGAGCTTTAATATTTTCTGCAACAGAGCATAGTAGAGGAGTTATTAGGCTTGGATAGGTGTATATATATACACACATGTGCGCACACACACTGTGCTTAGGAGAGCATTTGACACAGAATGGGAGCTCAATACAAATGCACACCATAATGAACAAAGCCACCCTAGTCATTAGGCATTGCCAGAAGAACCAAAATGACATAAGCTCATGAAAATGCTTTGGATAGTTCAAGTGCTTTATCAAAACATGGACAGTATTGCCACTAATTATCATTATTTATATTAATTTTATTTTTGAGCCAATTAGTACTCTTTGTTCATCACAGATGACACACTCAGTTGGTGTCACTGTGCCATGAATCGATATACTGAGAGCTTAATACACTGTTAGCAGTTTAATATTTTATATTCATTGTGATCAGGCAGTGAGGCATTCCCACTAAAGATATGGCGAATCAAATGCTTCTTACCAGCACCTCAGCTGCGACTGTAGACCCAAAGAGGAGGGGATGAGAGCACATCATAGAGTCACTCTGTCTCTCTGGTCACACTCCCTTGCTCCCCACTACTAGGTAGTTTTAATGGTGTTACAGCTGTAATCGGTACCTTCATTTATATCATCTGTGGCTTGGTGTTGGAGATATGCTCTCAAGTCTGTGGGTGGGAGGCACCCTGAGGGCACAACACATCTATTACCCTGGAGAAGGTATAACAGGAAACAAATGATAATGGCAAAATGCTAATGACTTAAATGAGCTGAAAATGATGATATAGCACTTGGAGCTTTCCAGTTTTTCTTGTGATGAGGCAGGGCCTATCGTTAGTTTGACATATAAATGTGCCTTAGAGAAGTCTTGCAGGATTGTTTGTCCCTCAGTGGTAGAATTCATTAGCATATGGCAGCTCTCTCCAGTGAAGATTACCTGAGGATGTATGTGGACCGCCTTTGCACAGATATTGCAATGCAATTGCGCTTAAGGGGGCATTTTGACAAACAAGGCAAACCCATTATTTTTATCCATCTACAATTGCAAATTAATTGAACAATTAGTAGTAATAGCTTGAATGTACATAACAAGGCACCTTGCATCCCAAAGTACTATCCTGACAAAATATGAGCACTAATTTTCCACTAGTGAGAGATGGATTCCTCTGGAGTAGGCACAACAGCTGTTGAACAATCATAGCAACCTTTTTCACTATTCCTGTCGGTAGAAAGAGAATGGTATAACGAGCTGAAAAGGAAGATATAGCTGCCCCCATGGGTGGTTACTGGATAGCTGCAAATAAAGTAAAATACACCTTTCATTTGTTGATTACAGGAAGAGGTTGACATCACTAGACAGGTTCGATGGAACTCTAAATATAACAGTAGAATTGAAGCTAATACTGGAGCCAATTTCCGTGACTCTATGTCTTAAAATGAACTATTTATTGACTTGGGGGCTAGACGGGAAGAAAAAAAGTGAAGGTTGGGGGAGAGGGTGGGCCTACATTTTCATATTAAAGCAACTCTTTCCTCACAAAGATTTTTAATCAGACATTTTGATTGCAAGTCACCCTGTGATTGTCAGAAGTACCATGCTGTGATTGGAAGAGCTCTTCAAACCCCCACGTTCTCTAGCAGACTCTGTGTCATGGCTGCTGACAGCTCACCAACACAGAACTGTTAACAAATGCAATTAGCATATATCCCTACTCTGGAGAGATGTCCCCAAGCTCTAGAACTCAAATATTATAACTCATAGCACTCTGGACTTTAATAAGTTTAGAAAATATTATTTTTCAAATGAATGGATGATATAATATTTTCTTTTGCTATAGATTGATACATAGGAAACACCTGAGTTTTATGAATGGTTGGCTATTTTTTCCCCTAAAGGGAAGAATAAATAAATATCACCATTGGCACCCTCTTCACAGCCCATCCATAAATTCCTATATATTTGCACAATGCCAGAGAGTAGAGGGAATCAGAGCTAAACTGAATATCTTTACCTTGGGCTAAGACTGTGATACATTCTGTTCTAAAGAAAAAAGCCTTACAGAATAATTACTATCCTTAACATCAGGCATGAATTAAGTTATTTTCTTTGAGTTCTGTGACTTCCATATTTCATCCAAATATTTAACTCTGGTTGATGTGACATTTCCCAAACTATCTACTTGGGTGTTATTTCTCTATCCAAAATATTATAAGTTTTCTCCTTGCCTTAAAGAATCAGTCCAATGCATATAATCTTTTTCTCAGTTTTATTGAAATAATCTTTCCAAAATACTGCTACTACAGTCTCATTCATCTATTATAAAACTCTCATGTTTTCCATTGCCTCCTAGATAGAATCCAAATGTGCCACTCTGAATTCCAAAACCTTATATAGGCTGGTGCCAATTCATCTTCCTAGAATTTTGTTGCCAGTATTCCTTAGGACAAACACTGAATTCTAATCAGACTGCTTGATTACCATCTCTTGGAACCTCCACTTACATTCTGCTTTCTGTATTCTTAGCTCATATTGTTCCCTGTGATTTAGACTATCTTTCTCCTTATAATCTAGTTGTCTTATATAAATCTTGTAAACATTTTAATATTCCACTTAAATACATATCAAGTGCTTTGTGGGAGTTAAAACACACTTGTTCTAGCAGGGAATAAGGCCAAATAGCCAGGGAGCAAAGACCCAAAATAACATGGAGTTTTTAGCAGTGATGGTGCTTGAGAGATAAAAAAATTGTAGTTCAAAACCCACCATGAATGAGGAGCCCTAAGAAGCCTTCCAGATTCTCATATAGATATTCCCTTGGAGTAGGAACAATTCTGAAGTAGACTGAGCATTACAGGGTACAAATCAGCCTCATGTTAGTTCAATACCAGATTAGACAAATGATATGCACTCTTGCTGCTGCCAGAGATAGAATGAACCTACTTGGGAGGAAGAAAAACTTACCAGAGCCTCTACAAATTTTCACAAACAGGATTCCATCAAAATATGAAACAGCTGCAAAAGAAGACATAGACAATAGAAACAAACCCACAAGTGACCTAACTACTGGACTTGTCAGACGTAGCCTTTAAAATAGCTATAATGAATATATCAAGTATAATAGATGTGTGTCATTTCATATTAAAATTCTCAACCTAACAGAACAGCATAATCCTAAATGTGTATGCACCTCGTAACTCAAATATGTAAAGCAAAAAGCCAAAACTCAACCAACCTGTCAATTTTGAAAGTATTATAAAGATATTTTAAACTATAAGAGTTCAGAACATTTATCTCTTATAAATCCTTTTTTTGAAAAGTGTGCTCAAATAAAACTAGGAAGTTTTTGTGTGAAGAAGCAAGAAAATGGCACAGGATATTCAGGAAACAGCATTGAATGATGACAGTCCTGAGCAGGCCTGGAGATCAACCACCCCAGATTGAAGCAGAAGGACAATGACTCTGAGAGACACTTCTCAGACAAGGGGGGCACTGGTAGAATATGTGTCAGGGAACTAAAAACATTAGATGGGAGACACTGGAAGGAAGATTTTTTAAAAGGCAAGGAACTTGGAATTACAAAAGAAAAAGTCAAATGAGAAAATACTATGTATTTATGATACCTTAATTGGCTCTGCAGTCAATAAAAATTATGTGTCATACTGAAACATTTTTATAATAACCAAAAATGATAAAACTACGTTAGGAGGATGGAGCCAGAGAAGGTGTATTGTGTAAGAGATGTAAAGTGACATCTTTTTGTAGTAAGGCAAAGAGAATGTTTAAAATTGGTAAACCAGCCGGGAGCAGTGGCTCATGCCTGTAATCCCAGCACTTTGGGAGGCTGAGTCGGGCAGATCACTTGAGATCAGGAATTCAAGACCAGCCTGGCCAACATGGCAAAACCCCGTCTCTGCTAAAAATACAAAAATTAGCCAGGCATAGTGGTGCGTGCCTGTAATCGCAGCTAGTCAGGAGGCTGACGCAGGAGAATCACTTGAACCTGGGAGGTGGAGGTTGCAGTGATTATGCAGAGATTATGCCACTGCACTCCAACCTGGGCGACAAGAGCAAAACTCTGTCTCAGAAAAAATAATATAATATAATAATTAGTAAACAATAAGTAGCATGATATACAATTATTAGTTAGCAATATAAAGATAAATATGAGAAGGAAAAAAACTGAGTTAATAGTGGTTGCCTCTGGGAGCAGGATTAGGGTAAGGGTGGGTTAATTCAGAGGACAGCTTTTTACAGTGTTTTTGTTGCTATGATTACTACTTTGAGATAAAGATTAATATCTAGTCTTTAAGTGAAAAAAGTGGAAAAAGCATCATGCTAATTATAAGAAGTCTAAGAAATAGAAAATGATAAAATCATTCTAATTCTACCACCCATACTAGACTGTTCAGTTTTTGGTATATTCCCTCAAGTCATTTATAAAACATACACACATACTTTTTAAAACAATAAAATCAAAATGTTACCGCATTAGTTTTTATGCCTAAAATCTTGTTGTGAATATTTTCCCATCCTATCTTATAAATCAAAAACATGCAGTTCAATGTTTGCAGTTTTCCATATCTCATGAGATTTTATTTAATCATTAACCAATGATGGAATATTTAAGGTGTTTCTAAATTCAAAAGTATTATAAATAATGTTGCAATAAATATCCTTTTACACAAACATTACATATCCTTTTATCTAATCAGAGGTTTTTTAAAAATGTAGCCAAAGTTATCTTAAGCAATTAAAAATGCTTAAGCTTATTAAAAGTACTGATTCTTTGAATGATAAAACTTAAAAATAGAAATGCTCACTCAAGTGTATGACTCATTTTAAACTTCTTGATACATAGCATTACAAAATAGCTTTCTATAAAAGTTGAATGAATAATACTATTAGAGACCAAACTGAGAGATACAGAGAATATGTGATATAAAGGGAGGGGCTGATCAGAGTGGACTGGAGGGAGCAGGCAGACCAATGCTCCATGCATAAACTTAGGTTTGACCCTTGCGTCTTTTGGGAAAGTACACCGTACCACTCAACAGCGATGCCAAATAGAACCAATAAATGAGGAGGGGGTGAATTTCTTGCAATTCCTTTGGCTTCACATTTCTTTTGAAGAATGCTCCGTAAGAACTGTAGCAGGTTAATTAGGATGCTAAGGAGGCTGGCACAATCTCTGTGCAGATCACATCACTCAAGACATTCCTGTAACAACATGGGTTTCTTCTTGCCTGCAAATGCTGTGTTTATACAACTGGCAGAGAGCTCGACAAGAATGAGGGGAAAAAAACAGGGCGATTTGTTTGGTTTGCTGCAGTCTCGTCATCTTGTGTAGCCCCCAAAGCTATAAAGCTGCAAACATATGAGTATAATTATTAGTATAATTCTTCATTATCACTTTAGAAGAGCTTTGGATGTTAAAAAAAAATCTATTGATGGAAAATAGGATAGAAATTGGAAAAACGTATAATGGGGCATGAAGGATGATTTCTAAACTGTGGTGACCTCAGACTTACTTGGGGAGCTTTTAAAAACTATAGTATCCCAGATACATTTCCAGATATTTTGATGCTCTTTGTATAGTGTTGACAAGGCCCGGAAATCTGCATTTTTAGCAAGCTTTCAGGGATATTTATTTGGATGCACCAGACTTGAGATAACAGATCATGAAGGAAGTACAGAGAGCATATTTTGCTTTACACTTACCAATCTTTGACTGTGTGTGTATACTGGTTTTATAGAGCAACTAAAGATATTTGCACATAGTTGAAATTTGTATTTCTTTTGGTTCTAGATAGAGTGAAGATTTTCATTTATTTTTATCTTTACATTGTCTCTTTACATTTTAAAAAATCATTTTGCTTCTAGGATATTTGTAATTTTCTTTTCTGGTTTGTAAGAGCTCTTGAAATATTAAGATTTTGTTCTATTTCCTAAGAATTTGGAAATAGTGAACATAAATTTAGTCGCTAAGAATGCAACTTAAAAATTAACATATAATAGAATAGAGTATAAATATGAAAAGGTAGCTTTAAGAAAAAGAATTGCTACCTGGCTGCCAAGAGTTGATTGAATTATTGAATTTATTACCATATTTAAAAAAATCATGGTATTTGTAAAATTACCTATGAAAACGAACAAAAAATGTGAGTTTAAGTGGCAAATATTAGGTGGCCCAGTCAGCATTGTGGTCTTGAGCAGGTTTAGCCCTATGTTATCTTAGTTCAGTGTTATTAAAGATTCAAATCATGCAGCTAACTACCATTGATTTGATTTTATTCTCCCCAAGAAACTCCTTCATTTGCTCCCTGCATGCCTATAGGAAAGGATGTGTTAGGCAGAGGGCAGATTGTTTGATGTCTCAGCAGTTTTGATTCTTATTACAAATTAATAAACTGGTGTCTTGGTTATATTTTGCATCCTGGGTAAGAATGTGTTGGTTGGCATTTAAAATTGACTAGTTCCTTCTGCAGTTATTTTTTTATAATTAAATGAAAAAATCTCCCTCTGATTTTATACATCAGTCTCACAAGCTTGCTAAATATGAGTTAAACCCTGAAACCCTGATAGGTTTACTCAGTCACTAAAAAAATCCAAAACTCAAAATAGCAAAACCAAAAAGCATCCTGAAAACATGAAGGTGTGGGCATCCAATATAGGACCTCTGACCTTGGAGATTATCAGGTTTTCCTGCAGACCCCTGCAACTTCCTCAGTGTTGTGCTTAATGAATCTTTTACAGTATCTAAAGCTTCCCCTATTAATCTGGAGATAATTTGTACAGTTTATTATTTGATTTTCATTTTGTGTATAGTGTTAAAATTACTCAAATATGTGCAATGTAGGATACAATTATGTATTCATAATTTTATGAGTATACTCATATTGCATGTTTAACTTGGTATTCTGTGGATGCTCAATAATTCTTGATAATACCCAAAGAACCTATCATCTGTGCAGTTTTAATTATTTCCTGTGAAACTGATTTCCTCTAAGAAGGAAAGGAATTGAAAACATAAACTTGAGCCCAGAACCTGGTCCATGCTTCCACATGTACCTTTGTCTGGTCTTCATGGTCTTGCGGTACTATGAATTTAGTTGTTCTGGTAAATTCAAGAATTCAAGATCTGATATAATGTGTATGAAAAACTACAGGCAGTTTGGTGTTGATGTGGGTAAAATAAGAGGCACCTGATGATGGGAAAAGAGGCTGGTGAGGTCAGTAGTAGCCAGAAGAGGACATACCTATGGGACATGCTAAGATGCTCGGAATTTATTCTGAGGGAAACTGGAAGCCATCGAAGGATTTTGGAGTCAAGGAATATCAAAATGAGATTCGTAGTTTTCAACCCAATGCAGCAAAATTGGAGAATAGAAGAGAGGCCAGTCAGGGGGCTGTGACAATCGTTCAGGCAACAAAAGAGGGCTCAGAAATGGCATGAAGAAATAGGGGTGGCTCTGAAAAAATATTTGGAGTGGGGAACAAGTAAAATTTAAACCTATTGGAAGAACACTCTGTTATTTTGAAGTTGATGTTTGAAGGGAAGTACCCTTAGGCACAGATCACTAAGAGAGTAAGCATACTTCAGGACGTTTGTAACAACCTTTGATATTTTCCACCATACACCCAGGCATGCTGCCTGCTTTCAAAGTCACGGGCAGGGTTAAATCAAGGGACATCATGGAGCAGCCTCGGCCTGTTTTTAGGGCCCCCTGTATCTCTCTTTGTCCTTTTCTCCCTTTTATTCTTTATCATTACTTAGGGAGCAGCTTCAGTCTTCAATATAAATTCTAGCACCTTTCACATTACTTTTCTACATCTTTTACTTTCTTTCAACACTGCTTCCTCATAACCCCAAGTCCTATTCTCTCCTTTTGCCAGGTCCCTAATTTAGGACGAAAAGCTATGATAATTGTGTAACATGCAAATTAACCTGTATTTCTACCTTCAGGGATTGCCTTTCAGATAAGATCCCAGAGAAAGAATGCTAAAGGCGCTAAACCCTAATGAAAGTGCAGATACCGGCAGCTTAGTTGAGAACCATTTTGGAATAAATAATGGGATCTCCTCCTTCAAATATCACCATTTCAATGTCAAATATTAACAGCTGGTCATTATCACCTCTCAGAAAGGAGCTCATAACTCAGGCTCTCCCACTCATTTTCTTTCCGTGCTTGTGGAAACACAGAAGAACCTTTTATTTAGTTTGAGTCCACTGAGGACAAACCGAAGGTAATTCTGACGGTTTCATAATTAACTTGATGGACCAGAAAACTGGTTAATTTGGAATCCCGAGTGACTCTATGTCTGAGAATAAGGATTAAATTTAACAGCTGGGACAAAATATGACTAATTAAGGGTTCACTTCTGTCTTCTTTAGCTCCATTCATCTGCAAGGTCTGTGCCTTTGCCCCTAGTCTCAGTTCTACAATGTTCTTTTGCTAATTTCAATCAAGCTGCATGTAAGAGCTGAAGAGACCTCACCTAAGTCTGGAGTTAGTCTTGTGGCCATAGCCTGGCTTCCCTGCCGTGAGCAGCTGTCTGTCCATCCTTTAGCCTGCTGTGTGAAATCGTGTGGGATGGTCTCTATGATGGGTCTCATCTCTTTACTTCAGCTTCACACTCTAGTTCCCCTGCTGGCCTTGGAGCCTTGCTTTGAACTCTAGCCCAATTGACTAGGATTTTGTCAACATGCCTAGCACTTGACATCCCCTGTAATTTGGCAGCTGGATGCCATCTCCTTTAGTTCCAGCCACAGACAGGGTCTTGTTCCAAATTAAATGGACCACCCCAAACTCTGAGGCTGCCACCCACCTGACTTTGTATATTGCATTTGCTTGGTGACTCCTGGTGTTTTTCCTTTCCTGCAGATGGGATCCTCATTAACATCAGTAATGCTTGGAACTAATACCCCTGTGGGCTGTGATGCAAATTGTCCTTTATTCCTGAGAGAAGGGCAGTTCTGTAGCCAGCCAGTGTTCTTTCCGACCCTGGGTTCTGCCCATGCCCAGCTCCCTGTTCCCAGTCCTGCCTTACACATGTCAAGGCTCACATGCTCTGCTACCCACACTATGAAACTGATATATTAAGTTTCTGGCTTGTGTAAACTAGCTTTATTGACACCAGATTTAACATCAGCATGATTTAATATTTCTGCTGGGTCTATATTATGTTCAGCAAGGCACATAAACTTATAGAATAAAGATTTGGGAGTTTATAGTTCAACACAATATATCTGCAAGGCAGCAGCTGACAAACCAATATTACACGATACTCCCTTCTAAAGTTTATATTAGATATGCAGCCAAGATTGATGAAACCCTAAAAGATAAGTTGAAAGAGAGGATACTTAGCTTCTTTTAGTATGCATGCAAGAATGAAGAGAAGAGATGCTCATTGTTTGATATTTTAGGCTTCTAAGGGGAAAATAACTTTTAGGGGAATTTTCTTGTACAGTCAGTTGTGTAGAAAACGATGGTACATAGAAATTTGTTGAGAATAGAGGAAATAATTGGTCATTATAAAATGCACTATTAGAGAAAGTATTCAGTGAGTGTTTAATATAGAGCAGTCCATTAGAGTGGGCTCTCAATAGTCATAAGTATCTGTTTAACCTACTATTATGTTTAATTGAAAATTACATTATTTTCTATACCTGAGTTTTTAATTTGAAAATAAAAAAAATGGATTAGATGCAAAAAAATCAAAACTAAAGAATATATCATCTCTCCTTGATGAATCAAGTTTATCCAGCGCCTTAAGGTATGTCAGTGATGAACTATAGAATATGCTGTTTATCTTCAAGCCATGTTGTTCCTTAGACTTTCGAATATGTCCATTCCTCTTCCTACTCTTCTACTGCCCCATCTTCTCCTGCTTCCGTCTCATATCCCATTGTCCACATGTTTTTCCTTTGTCCCCATGTATTTATTTATTCATTCAGCTAATACTTCAACTATAGGTTGGTGCAAAATAATGTGGTTTCTGCCATTAATTTTAATGACAAAAACTGCAACTACTTTTGCACCAACCTAATATTACTTGGGCATTCTTGTCTGCCTTTCCTCTGCTATCTGAGAACTGGGCACTACATCCTATTTCACGATGACTCCTCTGACTAGAACCCTGCTGCAAAATACCACCTAACTCAAACAAAAGCCACAAATTCAAGAAAGACATGGAATTAAGATAAAGGAATTAAGCTCTAATGTTTGTCTTGCAAGTGTCAAACAGTAGAACATGGAGGGTTTTTTATAATCAGAGAAGCTCTATTGATCCTATAAAGTCACTTTGTATAGTTGATAAGTAATTATATCTACTATGAAGCTCTGTAGAACTGTGAACTTGGACCCCAGTAAAGAGGTTGCTGGCAAATTAGCTCTCAATATCTGTGTAACTCTGAAGTAAAGTGTGCGAGACCTGAGCCCAGGCCACCATGTTGGTATTATACAGTCAATCCAAAATGTTGGGATTATAGAATTATGCAGTTAATACTATATTTTACAAATCAGTTGAATAGTAAGTTAGTTATGGAGTGACAGCTTATTAATATGGCTGCTGACATCAGCTCCATGATGGTGAAACAGTTGACCCATCAGGCTGAGTAATACAATATTATCTAAACACAATATTTGTTTTCACCACTGTACAACTCAGAGACGAATCCTTATTTATTTATAAAAATTCTGAGATCTACAGTATATAAAAAGTAATGGAAAGAACAGTTGAGCAATTGAGGTGAAACAGGCTTAAATCAAGGTCTTGGGGGAAAATATCTGAAGTCCTAATGTAATGCTTAGAATTTAAATAATGTTTCAAAGACTGATTTGCTAAAAAGCACTGAAAAGTAACCATACTTTATTTTTTCTTTTATTGTATAATATTTCCTGTGTCACTTGTACTACTTAGCTTCTTTTCAAATGCTAGTTCATTTTTTTTCCCCAAGATGGCTGATTAGAGGCTTTTAGTGTTCTTCAGCCTTGGAAATAGCAAGATAGTGCATAAAGTTCAACCATGTGAGCTTTAATTCAAAAAGGAAAAAGGAAATTCATTGGAATCATGAAGGACACACCCCAAATACCAGGGAGGAGAATGCAGGCAAACAGCCCCCTTGACAGCATCCAGCTGCTAAAAGTGAGCGAAGCCCCAGGATGTGAGAGAGGCAGAGAGCCTCCCTCTGTGATTCACCTTTCCACTGGGGGATCTGAGCAACCCAAGACAAGGGAGAGCACTTTGTTTCTCCCAAGCCTGGGAGCCAACTTGGGGCTACACTTGGAGTTACTGTAAGGTAAAAACACTGGGAAAAGCCACATTTTCCTAGACCTAGGACCAAGAGCAGGCTGTTATTTTTAATCTGAACCCATACAAACTCAGCCCCTAAGAGTTCCAGGGCATAGATTGCAGTACAGTGGGGCCCTCTCTGTTCCACTCTCAGGCAGATCTCCAGACATTCAAAGCACCCACTCACCTAGATCAGCAGCCTGAGCCACCCCACCCTTCCTCTGCATAGATCGTGATGCAGTGGGGCCCTCTCCACTCCATGCCCAGGCAGATCTCCAGGCAATTGTAATACTCATTCACCTGGATTAGTTTAGGCTGCTGTCCCCTCCACTGATGCAAAGAACTTGGGGCCAAAGAGGTTCTCATTTCCATGCCTAGGCATTTAGTAGCTACCCACTAAATTCTCTGTTGTTGCAGGTATGAGCCTGCCATTGCCAGGGACATGTAGGTTGGCCTGCCTAGTCTGGCCCCAACCATCTTTCGCCTTCCCCCGGGGCTAAACAGGGAGCTCAGGCCACTGTGCACTCCATGGATCAGCCCATTGTCAGAGGCTACGGAGAACTTCTCCCAGTAAACATCAAGTACATAACCAGCCACATTGGCTGCAGCTGGCTCTTATCCATAAGTGTCATCTACTGGCCTCTAGGTCAAATTGTGCAACCCAATTCAAAACCTGACAAAAGAAGTGCATAGAGCAATAAATGCAAAGCCAAACAACCTATCCAAAATCCTCTATAATCACACTGCCTAGGGAGGGTGATGAATAGAAAGAGAAAGAAAAAATAACTAATAATATTATATGGAAAGAAAGAAAAAATTCCTACCTGCATGAAAATAATTACAAAAATCAGAAGTGCCAGTATCTCCAGATGAGAAGGAACCAGTACAAGAATTCTGACACCATAAAAAAAATCTGAATATAGAGACTCCACCAAAGAAGAGCACATTAGCTCTCCAGTAATGATTCCTAACTGAAATGGAAATTTAGAAATGACAGAAAATTCAAACATGGATTGCAAGGAAGCTCAACAAGGTCCAAGACAAGACTGAAAGTCAACATAAAAACTTCTACATCAACCCAGGAATGAAGAAAGAGATAAACTTGTTTAAAAAAGTCAATCAGAGCTTCTGGAATTGAAAAATTCACTTAGGGAATTTCAAAATACTATCAAAAACTTTATCAATAGACTGGACCAAGCAGAAGAAAGAATTTCAGAGCTTAAAGACCCATCTTTTGAACTAACCCAGTTAGACAAAAATAAAGAAAAAAGAATTTTAAAAATGAGCAAAGTTTTCAAGAAATATGGGATTATGCAAAATGACCAAACCTACAAATTATTGGCATTCCTGAGACTGGAGGAGAAAAAGTAAATATCCTGGAAAACATATTTGAGAGAATAATTCAAGAAAATTCACCTAATCTTGCTAGAGAGGTGGATATCCAGATACAATAAATCTATAAAATGACTGGGAGGTACTATACAAAATTAACATTACTAAGGCATATAGTCACCAGACATTCCTAGGTCAACACTAAAGAAGAAAAGCTTAAAGGCACCTAGAGAAAAAGGGTATATCGCATACAAAAGGAACTACATCAGGCTAACAGCAGACTTTTCAGCAGAAACCTTAAAAGCCAGGAGAAATTGGGGGCCTATTTTGAGCATTCTTAAAGAAAGTAAATTCTAACCAATAATTTCATATCCTGCCAAACTAAGATTCATAAGCAAGGGAGAAAAAAAATCTTTTCCAGACAAGCATGCACTAAGGGAATCTTTTACCACTAGATCAGCCTTATAAAAGATCATTAAGACAGTTCTAAATATGGAAACAAGAGAATAATACCTGCTACCACAAACACACTTAAGTACATATCCCACAGACCTTATAAAGCAATCACACAGTAGAAACTGCAAAGCAACCAGCTAAAAACTTTTCGATAGGGTCAAAACCTCACATATCAATATTAACCTTGAAAGTAAATGGTCTAAATGCCCCACTTAAAAGGTAGACAGCCTGTATAACCTACAGAATAGTAGAAAATATTTGCAATAGTGCAAGTATGCATCCAACAAAGGTCTGCTCACCAGAACTGTAAGAAACATAACAAGCAAAAGACAAATATTAATAAATTCATTCAAAAGTAGACAAAAGACATGAACAAACACTTCTCAAAAGAAGGCACAGCAAGGGACCAAGAAACACACAAAAATGTTCAACATCACTAATCATTAGAGAAATGCAAATCAAAACTACAAAGTGATACCATCTCACAGCAGTCAAAATGGCTATTAATAAAAGTCAAAAACCAACAGATAATGGTAAGGCTGCAGAGAAGAGGGAATGCTTCTACACTGTTGGTGGTAATGTTCTGCCGCTGTAGAAAGTAGTTTGCAGATTTCGCAGAGAACTTAGAACTACCATTTGACCTAGCATCCCATTACTGAGTACAGATCCTAAAGAATGTAAATCATTCTATTAAAAACACATAGTACTTGCATGTTCACCTCAGCTCTAGTCACAATAACAAAGACAAGGAATTAACCTAATGTACCCATCCATGGTGAATGGGATAAAGAAAATGTGATACATATACACAATGGAGTATAATGCAGCCATAAGATAGAAGAAGATAATGTCCTTTGCAGCAACATGGATGCAACTGGAGGCCATTATCACAAGCAAATTAATACAGGAACGAAAAACCAAATACCACATGTTCTCACCTATAAGTGAGAGCTAAACATTAGATATTCACAAATATAAAGATGACAAAAATAGATACTGGGGACTACTAGAGGGGAAAGGAAGGGGAAAGGGGCAAGGGTTAAAAAACTGTTAGGTATTATGCTCTCTACCTATGTGATGAAACCATTTGTATCCCAAACCTTTGTATTATACAATATACCCATGTAACAAGCATGCAAATGTACCCCCCAAATCTAAAATAAAAGTTGAAATTATTTTTAGTAAAACTAAAGAAACTACAAACAGCCCATAAATATATGAAAAATTTCAACATCACTAGTAATAAAAAAATTAAAACAGTGAGACGTATATTTTACTCGTCATCTTAACTAAGCTTTAAAAAAATCATAGTACTTATGGCTGGCAATGGTTCTGAGGAAAATAAACTCTTCAACTTTATGGAGGGAGTGTGAATTGTCACAACCATCAGTAAAGTCATTTATTTATGTGGATCAAAGGGTTTATGTTTATACCTTTTGATAAGGCAATTCCATTTATAACAATTTATCCTAAGGAAATCACTAGAAATGTTCACAAAGATTTATTTCCAAGGCGGTTCCTAGCAGTGTTGCATATAATAACAAAAAATATTAGAACAACCAAATATGAAGACTATTTATTTATATTCCCCAACACTAAGGGATTTGTTAAATAGATTGTTAGATTCATATAATGGAATGCTAAGTGGTCATTAAAAATCAAGTTCTCAAGTCATTCTTAATTTCAAGAAAAAAAAGCCTATGGTGTAGAGTCAAGTGGAAATAAAAAGAATGCTGGACTGTAACAAAAAAAACAAAGCAAATGTTAATCTATCAAACAAGAGGAAAGTAAACTTTTCAACTGGGCAATACCAATAGTATACTTTTCAAGATTTGCTGATCTATGTAAGCTGCTAGCAGTAATGTGAGAAAAATATATATAATATTGAGAAAAATATTTTCAAAGAGAAGATCTTAGAGATAAATTACACTTTTGCTAAGATGCAAGCTGTGGAGTTTCAGAAGGAACAAAGAAAATAGCTGCAAGGAGAAATGGCCAGATGTTAACACTATCTCTTAAAATTTGTGTACATTTATTTTTTAAATTTATTCTTTTTTGGTATTGAGTCCTATAAATTTTGATACATTTATAGAGTCATGTAACTACCCCACAGTCAAGATACGGAAACAATCCTTCATCCCCCTAAAATTTCCTCATGCCTCTCCTTTATAGTAAAACATTCATCACAACCTGATAGTTAGTGATGATGATTTCTGTTCTCCACCTCCATCAATTATATACTGATAGTATAATAATCCAGAAAACAGCCGTCAACACTTTGTCTAATATTTAAAATATTTTAAAAATTGAATTTGAACTTACAAAAGTATAGTAGTTGCAAAGACGTGTTATAGGGTGAGAAATTATTTTTTAAAAAAACAACAGGCCGGGCCCAGTGGCTCACACCTGTAATCCCAGCACTTTGGGAGGCCCAGGCAGGCAGATCACGAAGTCAGGGAATCAAGACCATTCTGGCTAACACGGTGAAACCCCGTCTCTACTAAAAATACAAAAAATTAGCTGGGCGTGCTGGTGGGCGCCTGTAGTCCCAGCTACTCGAGAGGCTGAGGCAGGAGAATGGCATGAACCTGGGAGGAGTAGCTTGCAGTGAGCCGAGATCGTGCCACTGCACTCCAGCATGGGCTACAGAGCGAGACTACATCCCCCCCGACCAAAAAAAAAAACCTTTCAAGCAAAAAACACCTGAAATTCTAAGCAATAAATGTAATAAAAATGTGAATTTGTGGAGGAAGAAAACATTTCTGACAAAGTTAAGCTTGCTCATGTCAATTTATAATGGAGAAACTTCAGATTCAACTTAAAATGTGAATTTATATTAATTCAAAATTATTTTTGAGGAAAAGTGAGCAAAACGTTGAAGACCAATCAACTAAAGGATTGGCCCATCTGTGAAGAGTATTTCCTCATAAAAATCTTTTTGTTCATGATGCTTTACTTCCTCAACCTTCCCACCAAATTAAGTCCTGTTTTCCTTCCATATCCCCTGGTATTTCTCTTTTTCTATACTCTAATCACTTATACAGTAAGTAATTATTTAATATCTCCGTTCTTCACTAAATTATGAGCATCAGCATGGGTGTTCAGTCACATTCTTTTACTGATTAAATATCTATATTTTCTTTAGAATGAAATGTGAGATCCTTGAAATCAAAGATCACATCTTTGCATTCCCATGGCCCAGTACTGTGACTGTCATATAATAATTTCTAAAAAGTATTTCATTTAATGATGAAGTTGTAAGAGAATAAGGTTATAAATCATTTAAGAAATTGAGAAGACCTTTGTGGCACCAATGTCATGGCACCATGGTAGAGTTGGTTAACTCTCCACAAAATTCCATGCTTACCTTTTCATAATTTGGTAGTGTTATTGGGAGACAGTTACCCAGCCAGGGCATGTGAACAGGAGGAGGCCTATAACTTTTAGGCTTCTGTTTTTTGTTTTTTTGTTTTTTTTAATAAAGTCATATGTCTTCTTCACTCTTTTCTCTTCCTCTGATTGGATACAGAGGTTTTCAAGGCCCCAGAAGATGACACCTCACCAAAGCAGAGAGGGCCTGGTTCTCTGAATCACTTATTGGAGGAATGCTGCTTGCTGACCTGCACCTTTCCTATGTAACACACACCAATATAAGCATCAAATACAGTTTTGTTGAGTTCAGCCATTGAACAGTGGAGATTTGTTTGTTATAGCAGCTAGCATGACCAAAAAGCCCAGTGCTTGTACTGCCTAAGGGAAGATGGGCTCCTGTTTAAAACGATAAAAACAATGGAGGAGTGGTGTAGCAAAGTGCCCTGTGACTAGACAAATAGGATTTAGTAGCTTAGAAATGTAGCATTTTAACTAGGAGGCCCCATCCAAAGGGTAGCTTGGAGAAAAAAAAGCAGGCTGATATAAACAGTGGGAATTCAATTCTACTGTTTCTGAGGGAAAATATTCCAGAAAAGAAATCTCAAGATTGCCTTTAAATCTGTTGAAAGGAAATAGACAAGAAGAGTCAGGGAAGACTTTGTGATGCAGTAGTAAGGAGCAAGGAGCAGATAAAATAAAATTATTAAAAGCCTGGATGAAAATTTCTAATGGATTAATTAAATACACTGGTGGTCACATGTCACCAAATGGACACATTCTTCCAGGCTTTGGAGAACCTGGCTGAGAGCAACTTTGAAAATCTTTTTTCTTTTTCTTTCTTTCTCTCTTTCCATTTTTAAAAAGTGGCAATTGAGTAAATAAAAAATTTCAATTGGGACCTTTCAAAGCTGAGAGCATCTTTCTAGCTCAGAAGAGTAATTGCTCATTTTACATACTTTGAAAAACTGAGCCAAGGAAATAAAAATGATTTTCGCCTTATTCCATATTTCATCTAATAGGTCAAGAAACAACTACCTACAATGGGCAAAGCACTGTGGGGAATGACACAGTTTGTCCCCAGTGAGTGTATCATATGCGTCTTGATGTGGTGGAGCCAGGAAGAGGGAAGACAGACCTGAGCTCAGAATGTTAAGAATGCAGCCATCTAGGACTGCTCTGTGACTATGAAAACCTCAGCCTCAGGAAGGCTGTTTGCTCTGGGAAAGACGGTGATATCTAAATGGTATCAAGGCAATTTACAAATGTCCCTGGGAATCTAGTATAGTGGTCACACGGGACTACAAGAAGCAGTGAGATGAGTATTTCTAGTAGAATTATAGGTGATTCTGAGGATATGAGTAATAGAAAGAGTTCCTGCAGATCTGGGTTTGTTAAGTATAGATTAACCTGGCAGCTTTACGCCATATGCCACAAAAACTCTGGCTGGGGACTTAATATAATTGCTCAGCTCCTGGAGATGGCTTAGTTGAACCATTTCCTGAATCATCCCCCTGTTTAAAAAAATTGAAGGCACAAAGCAATAACATTCTTAATTTGCTAGGTGGCTTTGCTCATTGTTTCCCAATATTTGGAAACATACACCATGTTGCAGCCTGTTTCACCAAAACAACAAACAACAACATTGCACAGCTGGATAAGAAGAAAGGTGGAGAAAGGAATTGTCGTTGCTACTCCCTTCAGCAGAAGGACGTAGCAAGGACAATTGTTTTATGCACCATTGCTAAGCTGAGTGATCAACCAAAACCCAGATTTAAATAAAGCTGATATGAAGGAGTTGCCACATTTTTCTTTCCAGTTATCTCTATTTCTTTACTTCATTTGATAAGGGTTTTTTGAATTACCTAATCTATGTCATATGAGTTATCATAATGCTTAAAATTCAAGGCATGTTAATTAAATACCTTGAGAGAGAAAAAATCAGGCCCAAAGGGAACCCAAAGAAAGAGACAAGTGATTCTAAATGGGAGAAATCAGCTGAGGCTTTATGGAAAAAGATACTGCTTGATCTTGACTTTTAAAAACAGAAATTAAACAAAAAACTTCTTCCTGATGTGTAATATACATATGGAAATTTGCACACACTTTCAGTGTACAGGTTGATGAATTATTCTGAAATAGAAGCAAAACATTTCAAGCATCTAGAAGCTCCTTCCTGCCTTGTCCTAATTATTATCCACCCCTCCTCCCTAAAAGTAACCACCATCCTGATGGTATGTTTGGCTATGTCCCCACCCAAATCTCATCTTGAATTGTGGCTCCCATAATTCCCACATGTCATGGGAGGGACCTGGTGGGAGATAATGAGTGGGTTTTTCCCATGCTGTTCTCATGATAGTGAATAAGTCTCATGAGATCTGATGGTTTTATAAAGGGGAGTTCCCCTGCACAAGCTGTCTTGCCTGCCACCATGTAAGATGTAACTTTGCTCCTCATTTGCCTTGCACCATGATTGTGAGGCCTCACCAGCCATGTGGAACTGTGAGTCAGTTTTACCTCTTTCTTTTATAAATTACCCTGTCTCAGGTATGTCTTTATTAGCAGCATGAGAACAGACTAATACAGCAAATTGGTACCGGGAGTGAGGTGCTGCTGTAAAGATATCCCAAAATGTGGAAGCAACTTTGGAATTATGTAACTGGCAGACATTGGGACAGTTTGGAGGGCTCAGAAGAAGATAGGAAATGTGAGAAATTTGGAACTTCCTAGAGACTCGGAGGACTCAGAAGACAGGAAGATGTGGGAAAGTTTGAATCTTCCTAGAGACTTGTTGAATGGCTTTGACCAAAATGCTGATAGTGATATGGACGATGAAGTCCAGGCTGAGGTGGTCTCAGATGGAGATGAGGAACTTGTTGGGAACTGGAGTAAAGGTCACTCTTGCTATGCAAAGAGACTGGAAGCATCTTGCCCCTGTGCTAGAGATCTGTGGAAATTTGAACTTGAGAGAAATGATTTAGGGTATCTGGCAGAAGAAATTGCTAAGGAGCAAAGTGTTCAAGAGGAAGCAGAGCATTAAAGTTTGGAAAATTTGCAGCCTGATGATGTGATAGAAAATAAAAACCCATTTTCTGAAGAAAAATTCAAGCCGGCTACAGAAATTTGCATAAGTAATGAGGAGCCAAATGTTAATCACTGAGACAATAGGGAAAATGTCTCCAGGGCATGTCAGAGGTCTTCACAGCAGCCCCTCCCATCACAGGCCCAGAGGCCTAGAGGGAAAAATGGTTTAGTGGGCTGGGGACAGGGCCTTCCTGCTTTGTGCAGTCTCAGGATTGGTGCCTGTGGCCCAGCCATGGCTAAAAGGGGCCAATATAGAGCTCAGTCCGTTGCTTCAGAGGGTGCAAGTCCCAAGCTTTGGTGGCTTCCATATGGTGTTGAGCCTGTGGTGCACAGAAGTCAAGAACTGAGATTTGAGAACCTCTGCCTAGATTTCAGAGGATGTATGGAAATGCCTGGAAGTCCAGGCAGAAGTTTGCTGCAGGGGTGGGGCCCTCATAGAGAACATCAGCTAGGGCAGTGTGAAGGGAAATGTGGGGTGCAAGCCCCAACACAGAGTCCCCACTGGGGCACTGCCTAGTGGATCTGTGAGAAGAGGGACACTGTCCTCCAGACCCCAGAATGGTAAATCCACTGACAGCCTGCACCATTTGCCTGGAAAAGCTGCAGACACTCAATGCCAGCCTGTGAAAGCAGCTGGTGGGGGGCAGAGGGTGCTGTATCCTGCTAAGCCACAGAGGCAGACCTGCCCAAGGCTGTGGGAACCCACCTTTTGCATCAGCATGACCTGGATGTAAGAGACAGAGTCAAAGGAGATCATTTTGGAGCTCTAAGATTTGACTGGCCTGCTGGATTTCAGACTTGCATGGGGCCTTCAACCCCTTCATTTTGGCCAATTTCTCCCACTTGGAAAGGATGCATTTACCCAATACCTGTACCCCCCATTGTATCTAGGAAGTAACTAACTTACTTTTGATTTTATAGGCTCATAGGTGGAAGAGACTTGCCTTGTCTCAGATGAGACTTTGGACTGTGGACTTTTTGAGTTAATGCTGAAATGAGTTAAGACTTTGGAGTCCTATTGGGAAGGAATGATTGGTTTTGAAATCTGAGGACATGAGATTTGAAAGGGATCGGGGCAGAATGATATGGTTTGACTGTGTCCCCACCCAAATCTCGTCTTGAATTAGTAGCTCCCATAATCCCCATGTGTCATGGGAGGGACCTGGTGGGTGGTAATTGAATCATGGGAGTGGATTTTTCCCATGCCATTCTTGTGATAGTGAATAAGTCTCACAAGATCTGGTTCTATAAAGGGGAGTTCCCCTGCACGTGCTCTCTTGCCTGCCCCCATGTAAGATGTGACTTTGCTCCTCATTTGCCTTCTGCCATGATTGTGAGTTCTTCTCAGCTCCATGTGGAACTGTGCATCAATTAAACCTCTTTTCTTTATAAATTACCCTGTCTTGGGTATGTATTTATTAACAGCATGAGAACAGACTAATACACTTGATATTTAACATTGCAGACTAGTTTTACCTATACTTGAATTTTATGTAAATGAAATCACACAGTATATATGCTTTCATATTGGGTTATTTGGTTCTACATTTTGTTTCTAGGAGTGGTCAGTTTTGTTGCATATTGCAACTCTTCATTAATTTTTATTGCTCTGTAGTATTCCATTTCATATATATATATTAGTTTATCCACTTTACTGTTAATGAAAATTTGATTATTTTCAACATTTGGCTGCTACAAATAATGATGACATGAACATTTCAGGTACCTATCTTTTGTTGTCCACGTGTATGTATTTTTCTTGATCATATATCTGAGAATAATATTTTTGAGTCATAAGGCATGAATGCATCTGAATGATTTTATTTGATAATGTCAAACTATTCACCAAAGTGATTGTTGAATGGGATTTAACAAAGCAAACTGTGGAAAAGACAATTGGAGACTGAAATATTTTCATGGTGAAGACACTGAGGCATGATGGAGCCTGGCAGGCTCCAAGACCTGTGAGTCTTTTAGGGTAGCTGGAGGTTCCAGCCTATGAGGGATGTATCAAGTGTAGGTAGGCACAAGAATATGGAAGGCCTTAATGACTTTCTAGGAAATCAGAATTTTATAAGTGATTGGAAATCATTAAAGAAGCTTGCATAGGGAAGCAATATGATCAGATCTGTGATTTGGGAAGAGGAGTCAGTTTGAAGTGTCTACTAAGTAAGGTCTTAGGAAGGAGAGGATGAGATTCTGAATCTGAATATTGAGAACGGAAATCAATATCCATCTAGGAAGTAGAATAGCTGAAGATAGCACTTGTCTCAGAGACAAGTGCTCTCTTTTTGCAGCTTAGGGCCCTTTTCCTGCTGAGTTCTGGGAGGTTTTGCCATACTTTTTCCCTTTCTTCTCTTTAACAGCCACAGGTATTGACTTCTTAAAAATAATTCCTTATATTCTCTCTTTTAGTAAGATTTTTATTCTAATAATAAGAACTACTGTGTGGTTTTAAGTAGCGATCAGGTGGGAAAAATTGACAATTTTATATTTGTAATAAATATTAGAGATAAGCAAGAAGTTACAAAGGAGCTGTTGGATTTAAATAGTTCTCTGTAAAAGATGCTGTCAGTTTAAAAGATGCCAAAAGAGTTTATAATTTCTTATCCGCACACCCAAATATTGGGATAAGCCCTGTCAATAGCTAGTGCTCTCTTTACAGTTTTAATAGAAAAGGCTTCACAATCTCAGGATAATTTGTATGAAACCATATTAACCACTGATCACCAGAAGATGAATTTAACCTGATTGTTTTATTATGGTATGAGCACACTGCTAAGGGGACCAGATGGGTCAACAAAGAAGTAGATAATTATGTGGCAAAGAATGAGTTCTGTCAATCAGTTTTTTTTTTTCTAGCCACGCCGAAAAATACATTAACAAACCCCTACAGTGTCAAAGGCTTGACATAACCCCTGTTTTTCAACATGATTCTGCCATTCTTTAACAGCTTTGGGGCTTGGGTCCAATTAGTTTCAGTCTTCCTGGTATGAGCTGAAACCTAGGCTGAGGCAATCACAATAAATACTTGGTAGACTCCAGAAGAATGATTGTATTCCCTAGCCACAAGCAATTAAGCACTAGATGTATTCCTTGTAAACCTTTGCAAATGCAATGAAAAACATGTTTTAAAAGACAAATAATTAAGTGGCTTCTTTCCTTTGGTGGCATTTAGGTAAGGGAAAATTAAAGCTTCTTGTTTCACCTAAGAGGAGAAGAGATTTTCTGCTATAAAAATTACGATGGCTTGCATACAACCTGCTGGTAATCTTTCAGAAATTATAGAGAATGGGATAGATGCCAGAAACCAGATGGGCAAATATCCTGAAATTTAAAAGGAGAAAAAGAATGTCTTTTACAAACTACTGGGGGAGAAACTTAATTTCAATTCCCTACCAACGTCTAGAATGTACTAATAAGAATTTCGATTCTTTTTTTTTAAAGAAAGAGTCTTGCTCTGTCACCCAGGCTAGAGTTCAGTGGCGCAATTTCGGCTCACTGCAACCTCTACCTCCTGGGTTCAAGTGATTCTCCTGCCTCAGCCTCTCGAGTAGCTGGGATTACAGGCACCCCTGCCATGCCTTGCTAATTTTTGTATTTTTAATAGAGAAGGGGTTTGCCATGTTGGCCAGGCTGGTCTCGAACTCCTGACCTCAGGTGACCCGCCTGCCTCGGCCTCCCAAAGTGTTGGGATTACAGGCATCAGCCACTAGCCAAGAATTTAGATTTAAAAGGGAACTAAGCAGACTTATTCTCTAATCCTCTCTAGTTACTCTTTCCCAGTCTCCTTTGGTTACCGTTCATCTTCAACTTGATCCACAGGTATCTTCCTTCCTTAGTACTCTATTTCATTTTATTGAAATATGCTCCCTGGAGCATCTTGCTACAAGTATGGCTTCACCCATGTCTATATGCCAGTAACCTCCACATTTAAACCTAGGGCCCAGATTCTTCTTCTGAGGTTCATGTATCAATTGATATAGAATTACCTGGGTATGATATTGGGTAACGAAAGTCAACTTAATCATTTGGCCAACATCCTTCCTATAAACAACTTATCCAACCCCAAATCTGTTACTCTTTCTATAATCCCTCTGTCTATATTCTAACCACTTGTGCCCCCAAGTCAGAAACACAGCAGTTATTTGTCACTTCTTCCTTCCTTTGCTCTATACATCTAGCTAATTATTAATTCCAGTCACTTATTCTAGCTGAAAATGTTCATATCTCTTTCTTCCTCTCAACCTCCACTGTAATTCAGACTCACCTCATAGTTTGACAAAAATTACTGCTCAGCCTCAGAAGTTATCTCCCATTTCTGGTAGGGCATCTTCTCTCTGATAGCCAAAATGGTTTATGCATGACATTTACCTTACTATGTCACTACCATGCCTAAGCATTGTCAGCATTTTTGTGTATTCAGAATAGAAGACAACATATTGGCATGCACATTTATTGGTTGCTCTTGCCTCTTTCTTCTAATTGAGGCACTTCTTTCCCCTTCCCTCTGTACTAGCCATTGCGTATAGGCATGGGAGAGGATGCCCTGGTAGTTGGGTATCAGAGTTTCCTCTAAATGTATACATTTCTTAATTCCTTGGAAAACTTAAAAATTAGACCTCTGTGTCTCATTGCAGACTGACAGAATTGAAGCACCTGGTCTTTCAGTCTATAACTTTGGCAAGTGTCCCACCTGATTTTGGTGCAGGTTTGCATTTGAGAACCACAGCTGTGATGGATAAGAGGGAGGTGGGAGGACATGTCTGTCTCCTAATGATCTTACGCTACATTAGGGAAGTTAACATGACTATACTTGCAAAAACTATGGTATAAGGTGAGGCAGATATTAGGAAACATGAGAAGAGACAGTAGGTTAGAATTTTGCTGTTGGAAGTTAAAGGCATTTGGACAATACTAAGGAACCACTTTTTGTCAAGGAAATCTTTCTGAAAATAAGGTCTTGGGCTAGCCTCTCTGAATTACATTTTTTACTCTGATAAAAATCTTAGAGAGCTTTTATTCCACAGGTTTGTCTTTTTAATATGTTACTTCAGCTTGCAAAATTGTACTCCACTTCTGAAGGGAAAAGCCTATCAAGATATTCAAAAACAATATCTTAGCATAGAAATGAGGGCTGATGGCTACAAGGCACAGAAGACAGGATAATGTGCATGCGGGGTGTCTCTAATACTAACTCTTAGCAAGGGCATGAGAGGCCGGGCATGGTGGCTCACGCCTGTAATCCCAGCACTTTGGGAGGTTGAGGTGGGAGGATCACTTGAGGTTAGGAGTTCAAGACCTGCCTGTCCAATATGGTAAAACCCCATCTCTACTGAAAAATAGGAAAATTAGCTGGGCATGGTGATGTGTGCCTGTGTACCTAACTACTTGAGAGGCTGAGGCAGGAGAATCACTTGAACCCAGAAGGGGGAGGTTGCTGGTGAGCCAAAATCATGCCACTGCACTCCAGCCCATGTGACAGAGCAAGATGCCATCTCAAAAGTAAAAAAAGAAAAAATAAATGACATGAAAGTAAGTGAGACTGCATACTCACTCAGTTCTCCTTATGGTCCTCTGCACACAATATGCTACTCCCAACTCTATGTCCTTAGTTATGCATGCATGCATCTCCCTATGCATTTCCTTAAATCTTACCTATCATTCAGACTGTACCTTGAAAAGCTCTGTGTACTCTGGCTCATCCTACTCTTTTTAGGATCTGAATTAGTGACCATTCCCACTCACAGTCATTGTCATCTCCTCCTTTTAACATTCACCAAGTGCTTGCTTTGTAACAAGCATTGGATTAAATGTTTACACAAAATGGGTAACTTAATCCTCATGATAATTCTGTAAATTCAGCAGCATTTTTATCTTCACTTTACACGTGAAGACAGAGAAATTTAAATTGCCTCCAGTGATAGGGCCTGCAAGTGGCAAAGTAGGGATTGGAGCCCAAGTCTCAACGGTTCCCGAGTCCAGGATGGAATAGTGCTGCCATTAGGTTCTTTGTAACTACTTCATTCATACCAGTTTCTTCTCCTTCCCCCAGATCACTGTAGTTTCCCCAGAGAAATGACTTAGTGGAGTGAGCTGATCATTGACTAGGAGTCCATGTGATGGTGCTTGTTCTCTTGCAGACTCATTCTCAGCACACCTCTGCCTACCTCTGTGCGCCAGGTGGTTGGTCTCTGTGAATCGCATCATCCAAACTCCTTTGAACTCTGTCTTCCTTCTGGTTGCATTTGGCCAACAGGAGTCAGGAGAATGGAGGAGAGAGAAGCCAGAGTATTTCTTCCCTGCTTCATCTCTGCTTTGGGGATGCTTGGCAATGATGGTATCTCTCTCTTTACTACTCAAAATTTGAGCAAGTATTCTCTTTCCATGGTTTCAGTTCTCAGTTGTTTCCAGTACTTTATTTCTTTCTCTTGTTCCCTTGGCCCTAGGGGTGGTAGCAGCTTCCCACCATTGCTAGCTTCTGGGTGCCTCATTCTCCTGGTTTGTTCCTATTTCTCACACTGCTGTTATTAATCACCTCTGCATTTGGAGCATCTGGGTTCATTCTGATTCTCGCCAGGAGACTACCTGATATACATAACAACTGGCTTTTACACGCAGCTCTGTACTAACCAGGCCAGCTTTTTCCTGTAGCCCCAGGCATATAAACCTGATTCTCCAACAAGACCATTCCCACTTGGATGCCCCATCAATGTTTTAAACTTAACATTTCCAAACCTGAAGGTATATGTTTCCACAAAGTCTATGTTTGACCCTATATTTCCTAGGCTGGTAGCTGAGTCATTTCAGTTAGAAACCTGTAAGTTATTCTAACCTCTTACTCCTTCATTTTCTCACAGTCAATGCTACTAAGTTCCTTAGTTTACATCCTTACTACAGTTCAAATCCACTTCTTCCTTTCTCTTTCCCAGATGCCACGGTTTCTGTTTAGATTCCCACTGTCTATCATTTGGACAATTAAATTGCAATAGCTTCTTAATTGGTTTCTTCAACTCCAGTCTTGCACATCAATGCTGCTGCCAGAGTGAGCTTTATTTTTAATTTAAAAAGCAAATAGATGTATATATTGGAAATTCAAATAATGTATTTACAAAGTTAAAAGTCTTCCCTCTTAACCTCAAAGCCATTCCATGGTGGTAACTACTAAATTTATTTTAGATATGATCATTTTTCTGTGTGTATAAATCATGTATACATACGAACACATGTAGACTTACTTAAAATGTTATTATACAATATGCAGTTTAACAATTTAGAAAACTATGGATGAGTTATTATTTTAAAACTAACATCTAATATTATCTCTTTTATTTCTTAAAACTCTTCTATAGCATCCTATCATTTTAGGATAAAGTCCAGGCACTTCTATATGATAGCGCCAAACCCTGCATGATGAAGCCCTTGTCGAATTCTCTGGCCTCATCTCTTCCTACATTCTTTTTCATCCTATGGTCCAGTCATATTGAAGTGCTAACTGCTTCCTAAAAACACCTGACTGTTTCAAGTCCTCTTTGCCTCTCTAATTTGTCTCTTTGCTAATTTGAGAATGTGTGTTTCTTCACTTAGTAGATTTTAAGCCTCTCAAGGAAAAAGCCATTGCTAGGAGGCTGGTTAATAATTTCTGACTTTTGAGACCTCTAGAACACATAGATCCTCTCTGATTGCCAGTTTCATTTTGATTGCCACCATCTCCTTATTTCTTAGCTTTGATTCCTAACCTAGTTAGTGGTTGTAAGCTAAGGAATCTTTATATTTGGAAGGCTGCATCCCTGAATGTCATGTGCCACCTTCTAAATGTTTTCACTGCTATAGATTTAGTTTAAAGTATCTACCTATTACAGGTTTTAGATGGTCATTTTCTATAACATCAATGCCAGAAAATAAAGATAATTAATTAGAATATTACACTTTACTTATCCCTTAAAATTTCTGATATAAAATAGGTTTTTAGACTTAGAAATGTTGCTATTGATCTCTGTTGTATCTTGAAAATAAATGTGTAGCATAGCAAACCAAAAAAAGAAAAGATAGGTAAATACAAGCAAAAATCATTGCTATTTATACCATAAATATTTTAAACTCAGGTGGCAAAAAGAAGAATGGACACATATAAACTGCTTCCCTTAAAATAGTCTTGGGAAAATAACCTAGGAGAACATGTACATTTCTGCCTTCTTTCAAAAATTAACATACAGAGTAGGAATAACTATGTAGATGATCAATTTAGTCTAATTCTGCTTTTTTTTTTTTTACTTCTAAGTTATTTTATTTTTTTAAATTAAATTAAATTAAATTTTAAGTGCTGGGATACATTTGCAGGACCTGCAGGGGTTTGTCACATATGTAAATGTGCACCATGGCAGTTTGCTGCACCTATCAACCCATCACCTAGGATTTAAGTCCCTCATGCTTTAGCTATTTATCCTGATACTTCCCTCCCTCCACCTTCCTGACAGGCCCCAGTGTGTGTTGTTTCCCTCCCTGTGTCCATGTGTTCTCATTGTTCAGCTCCCACTTATAAGTGAGAACATGTGGTGTTTAGTTTTCCGTTCCTGTGTTAGTTTGCTGAGGATAATGGCTTCCAGCTCCATCCATGTCCCTGCAAAGGACATGATCTTGTTCCTTTTTATGGTTGCATAGTATTCCATGATTTATATGTATCACATTTTCTTTATACAGTCTATCATTGATGGACATTTGGGTTGACTCCATGTCTTTGCTATTGTGAATAGTGCTGCAATGAAGATACATGTGCATGCATCTTTACAATATAATTATTTATATTCCTTTGGGTATATACCCAGTAATGAGATTGCTGGGTCAAATGGTATTTGTGGTTCTAGGTCTTGGAGGAATCACCACACTGTCTTCCACAATGGTTGAACTAATTTACTGAATCCTGCTTCTTAAATTGGAAGTAAATTTATCTGGCGGGGCAGCTTGGCATAACTCTGTAGCACTCATAACTTACTAATGTGGGAGTGCATATTGGAGTCATAGGAAGGTATTTTAAATTATTTTATTTAAATTTATAAAATTTAAAATTTATACTATAAATTTACAAGGAAATGTATCTGATATAGTTCTAAGAGTATGAAATATTTGAGAGTAATTAAAAATTTAATGCAGGTTAGTGGTAGTCCATGTCAATATTTGGAGCTGAGTTCTCCAAGTGAACACTGATCAAGAGATATTTGTAGGAGTTTTCACTCTCTAGGAATTTCTGTCTGTGAAAAAGAACAGTCAAAATGTCACCTATAAATACTTTAGGCAAAATTATTAGAAAAAATTTAGAATGCATACAATACACTTTCTAGAATGTTTTGTAGCAATAATACTCCAAAATCCATCTTACCAAGTGATACTTTCCTTAAAGTGAGAGGCACTGTTTGGATCTCAGGTGCACTCATGATATGTTTCTCTTGTTTGTTTCTTTGTGTGGACACAGTTGGTGAGACCATGCTTTTGAGCTATCCAGTCTTGATAGCGGCAGAGACTTTCTCCTGGGCTCACCATGGCAATAAAATAGGGAGTGAAAATAACCCTGAGGTATTAGCTTGTGAGAATTGTAATGAGTCTGCTCAGACCCTTGCAAAATTTTTTTCCCTTCTTTCATTTTTCACAGTTGTAAGTCCTTATTGTGCTAATGGATACAGGGGTCATAATATGATAAATATAGAAAGATACTGGCCAGATTGCAGTTAAACTTTAAGAGTAAGTAGAATCTAATCTTAGAGGTGTAAGGGAAGCCTTCCAGACAGTAGAAACAGCATGAGCAGAGGCAGGATGGTAGTAGAGAATTACCTGGTGAATGTATCACCATTACCTGTGAAAGAACAAAGAAGACAATGGCAACAAAGACGAGGAGACGTGGATGCTTGTTCTGCTGCACGATGTGCTATGTCATCCCACTTCCCTGGGCCTAACTATGTGGGTGAACTGTATGTGTATGGCTGTGGCTATGGTTTGGACATGGTTTGTTTGGTGCCAAGCCTCATGTTGAAATTTGATCACCAGTGTGGGAGGTGGGGTTTAGTGGGAGATGTTTGGATTGTGGGGATAGATCCCTTATAAATGGCTTGGTTTCATTCTTATGGGAGTAAGTGAGTTCTCATTCTTAGTTCCCGTGAGAACTGGTTGTTGAAAAGAGCCTGGTACCACCTCCTCTCTCCCTTGTTGCTTTTCTTACCATGTGATCTATGCACACATTGGCTTCTTTTCCTCCTTCTACCATGAATTGAAGCAGTCTGAAGCTCTCACCAGAAGACACTGGTGCCATGCATCTTGCATAGTCTAAAGAACTGTGAGTGAAAAAAACCTCTTTTCTTCATAAATTACCAGCCTCATGTATTCCTTTTTAGCAAAACAAATGGACTAAGACGGTACGTGTATTATATATACACATAAGGATTTGGAATTAAGGAGTTAAACTACTCCATATCTCAAGCTTTTTCCAGCTCTCACTTCTAGGAGCCATGTTACTTGAACTAAGATCTGTTGGGAATCCTATAGAATTGATGGTGATTATGATGACAATTCCTGTGTATAGTTAATGTTTCTGCCTAGAGAGAGGAGTGGTACGTGTGATCTTGGGTGCATAAGTATCTAGGTGGCCTTTACTCTCCATTTTACAAGGAACATACTTAGTGGTTTTGGCACAGCCTGTGTAGTAACTTCATGTTTGGTGGGTTTTGTTGTCTACGTGCTGGTTGCTCTCTCTGGATGCTGGAGGAACTTCTGTGTGTGATACCATTCTATGTGAACTTTGAAGTTAGGGAGGATAAGATGAAGAAAAGGAAGACTGGAAGTCCTAGATTATTTTTTCTGGGCCCGGCCTATATTGCTTTTTATACCATCAACATATGACATTGTCAACCAAAAGAAATTATGTCAAGTTTAAGAAGCCTCTGAAGTAGTGCTCTTAAATCCTGTCCATGACCCTGTCTTGTGCAAAACTTTAATCAATGTCTTGGAAATCTGTATAGAAAGTATGTTTATTATACTTCAGCTGCAAAAAGGTGGGAAAGATAAATGACATACATGTTCACCTATTACTTAATATTCACCCCACATTACTTAGACCATTTGCTAATAGCTGGCTGTCTAACTGCTCCCAGCCAACAGGCTATGGGCAACACACTTATGAAATGGTGTGAGATGCTCTAGTTCTCTTATGCTGTTGCGGTGATTGTGAAGGGCTCCTATTTTACAAGGTACAGCTACAAAGTACTGAAGCCAACCTCAACCTCGGCCTCTGAGTGACTGTGTAGAGGAGAGCCCTTTGCTGGCCTTGTTGAATAAACAGTGTGAGCAAAAAATAAACTTTGTTATTTTAAGTCACTGAGATTTCATGGTTATATATTACCATAGCCTAGACTTTCCTGACTAATACAGACAGGTAAAGAATATATGTTGCAAATAAATCCCTAAAGATCAGAGCACTTGGAAAACCCAGTAATCAGGCTGAAAGTAATTCGGGATGGTCAAGGAATAACTTGACTGACGGCAGTTCATGTGAAAAGTTATGATGGAGCAGGATGGCTAAAAAAGATAAATTACATCATGTCTGTAGTCTTCAAAAATTTGAGAAATATTGTCAGAGAAGTCATCTCATTCTAGGTTCCTCTAGAGGGCAGAAACAAGAGCAACACAGAAAAATTTTGAGAGCTATATAGACCCCATTTAACAAAGAAAATGTTATCAATGTGAGCTATTTATCAGTGGATAGAGACATCTTTGGAATGATGAGTTTAGGAATAGTCAAAATAGTCATGCTGAGGCCAGATATCTAAGAATCAGGGATGCTATATAACCAAATTCTTCAATATGTAAAATTTTTGTCTATAAAATAAATTGTGTTAAAAGTGTATCATTTTCTGTTAATAATGGTCATAATATCAGTACATGTATTTTGAGATATGACTTGTTTTATTATTTACTGAGAGGGGGCACTTGGCTTGTAACAACTTATCTACAATTTCATGCATCTCTTTGTGATGTGGTTTGAACACTCCCTGCTACCACAAAACAAAATTGTATCACTGATGATTTGGCTCAACTAAGTTACATAGGATCAAAAAGCTAGAGCAGTGGTTCCCATGTTTGGTCCAAAGATGGTGATGGCTGGTGCATAAACATCATCTGAGGATTTTAATACAAATACCAATTCACGGGCTTTGTCCCTGGAAAGTTTAATTTATAGGTTGGGTTTGGGGTCTGGAAATATGCACTTAAATAAGTTCTGCAGGTTATTCTGATGGGCAGTCTGGTTTGGGAGCTAGTGTTCTACCTGTTTCTCTGCTTTTGTGGGTGTTTCATTCTTTTAGGTTCGTTTTCATCTTCATTGCACAGAAAAAGTACCCTTTTAAAACTCCAAGTCTATCTTAATTGAACAAAAAGAAGGGGGATTTCTCTATGTGATGGTCAGTGGGGCTATGACAGATGGTAGCAGAAGCAACCATCCTAGCTCCAGAATTTGCATTGAGAAAGAGAGAGTCACAGAGGATGAGAGTCAGAACCTGCTTGGCCATCAGGTGCCTCCCCTCTTATCCTCCTCAGCATGTGAGATAGGCAAGGAACCTCCTTGGCTGCAGACGGAGGGATATTGGAAGCCATCTAGTCTAGCATCTTTTTCTAGCAAAAATTTTAAGGAATCAATTCAAAGTGACCACAGTCAGGCAGTGAGCCTGCATTGCACCTTCAGGGTATCATCAGGGGTTCCTCAATTGTCTTGTAATTTTGTGGCTCTTGTGGCATCTGACTGTGACTGAGTTCAGACCTGCCCAAGGCAGCATTTCCAGGAATGAGCTTCTGAAGGAGGGCCTGGCAAATTTCCCTTTCAGGGGAGACGGTAATCAGACACTCAGGGCCATGGCAGAGAACTCTTAGCAGAGTGAATACTGACTCTGAATCAGAGCCTTCTCCTCAGGCTCCTTTCCACATCTTGCCCTCTCTGCAAACATTAGCTGGGTTGAGTGTGAGGACTAAGGCTCTTCATATCAAAGTCTTTTCCCTGGATAGTAATTATTTATTTTTATTTTTTTGAGATGGAGTCTCACACTGTCACTGGGGCTGGAATGAAATGGCGCGATCTCGGCTCACTGCAGCATCCACCTCCCAGGTTCCAGTGATTCTCGTGCCTCAGCCTCCCAAGTAGCTGGGATTATAGGCTCCTGCCACCATGCCCAGCTAATTTTTTGTATTTTTAGTAAAGACAGGGTTTCACTATGTTGGCCAGGCTGGTGTCGAACACCTGACCTCGTGATCCACCCATCTCGGCCTCCCAAAGTGCTGGGATTACAGGCGTGAGCCACCACACCTGGCCGGTAATTATTTTTTAACAGGTTGAGGTAACTACATAGTCATTTGTGTCTGGGAATAAGTGTCCTGGCCTATTTTCAGTACATTTCTCTTTTCTATAATTGTCATACTCTTTAATGAGGCTTGAAACACTCAATTTCGTGACCTCTGTCTCAAAGACCCTGGTGTTCAGTGCCTATCAAGACAGTGTGAACCTCCTAAGAATGAAGGGTAGAATTCTGATGATCATCCCCCACCCCCAAATATTTTGTGGCTGAGTGTTAACACTGCTGTTGTATTTCCCTTCAGCTAAGACTGTCTCCATTGAATTCTTGTTGTAGCCTGGAATCAGTTCCAAAGTGTTAGCTAACTGGCGTGTCTGGGGAAGTAAATCAAAGGCCTCTAGTAAATTTTAACAGTCATATACCTAGGATCAGTTCAGCAACCTAGAAATTTGATTACAAGTTGAAAATAAACCAGCTACAGAAATACCTTACTTACTCATATCTGGAAGTCTGAACTTTTAGAAAACTTCTATGTTCTTTCCCTGAGTGCTTTCTTTCCCCCTTCCTGCCATTTTCCATTTTTGTGTACTTTCAGTGCCTAGTACAAATCTTTGTGTATTGACAGGACTCAGGTGGTAATTGTCCCTTCCCTTAGAATGAATGGATGGAGAGATGAACAAATAAACTCTCTAGAGTATTGTCAAGAGTCAGATTGCAATTCAAAGAAATGTTATGGGACAATATATATGCACTATCCATACATATAGTATGACCCCGTGTGCCTGGAACAGTACTGGTTTACAGCTTTGATATATTCATTGATGGCACCTCCATTCACTCACATATGTTGGGCAGTAAACATATAGTTACCCTATTCATATGCAATCTTTTCTGGTCCTTTATTAAGAGTTATTTATTCTTGTATTTAATTCAAATAATCTTGGCTAGATTTCTTTCTCATTTTGCAATAGATTAGCAAATTTTAAATAGCCAACAGGTGATAGAGAGGCTAGCCCTTCCTCTCAAGAAGCCTCTGGAAGGCAACACTATTTTATGGCATAAGTGAAGTTTGTTCTATAAGGCAGGGAACTAAGGGATCCACTAAAACAAGTTTTTTCTTTTCTTTTTTTTTTAAATTATTGCAATTAAAAAGGATTAGTGTTATCTGAAAAAAACTCATTCTCATTCTCATATATTCAGATAAAGTGAAATATTACTATAACATGCAACATTTATTCCTATGTACTGTGCACACCATATGTTGAGGGTGAATACATAGAAAATAAAGTGCTAACATTTGAGAGGATTGTAACATATAGTAAAAATGTGATTAACCATACTTCAGTTTATGAATACGATATTAACTATTTTTTTCTTTTTTACTGCCTTTTTGGGGAAAGAGACATGCCACGTGAAAAGAAATTGGTATTACCCATTTAGCTTAAAGAAGAATAAGTAAGTCTCCCTTGATTTCTTGAGATTGTTGTGGACTCAGCTTTCAAACTGTCTAGTTTCCAGCACACTTTCTCCTTTTCATTCTCTTGTGTGAGGCAAGGAGGCTTAGTGCTCAAAGATAAACCCAAGGACCTACAGCTTCCCAAACCACCAAGGAAGGGTTTATTTTCCTTCACTAGATTGTCCATTGAGATAGGATAATGGATTTAGTCATTATTTGAAGGATTTTCAGTATCAATCATTGAACTGGTTAATTCTGAGTTGAGCAGAAAATTCAGTTTACTGGGAGCCCTTCTTCCTAAATACCAACATGGGCCCCCAGTTCCCTAAGTGTTTTGGTCCAGTGTGATTTGCTGCTACTATGTATGCAGGATATACAGATAGTAGCTCTGTGGCTGGCAGTGGCTAAGCCATCCCACTCCAGTCAAGATGAACAGGGGAATTAGGGTAGTGTTTAGGTTAAAGTGTGTTGATACCACTTGGTGAAGATTTTGAATGGAAGGAAGACAAAAGACTTTCTTAGGTAATATGCTTTCACCTCTGCAAGTAGGGAAAAATCATATTTTGACCCTTGTTCTTTATACCAAAAAAGCCTTTTAACTTAGAAAAAGGAAACTTGAGGTGTGAGTTGTGTAGTTCACTCACTGTGCTTCAAGCAAGACATACATTTTACCCACTCAGTGCCAATGCAGAATGCATCTCTACCTCATTTTAGCTTATCTGAATCTTATCCTTCCTTCAAGGTCAAGTACAATTTCTGAATTCCCCCCACATTTAGCCTCCCTAGTCTACACAAAGCAGCACCGTCATTGTCTTCATCATCTTTTATTTATAGTTGGATTGGTGGTGGTGGTGTTTCTTTCTCATGACAGCCTTACAAATAGCATCAGCCCCCACTCTCTAAAATGATTTGAATGGGACCCTACCCAGAGGCAGCCACCAATGCTGAGCACTTCTCCTGGCCTCCTCTGGCCTAATGAGCCCTCGATTATTGTTTGGCATTATTAAATGTCAACAATAGGATGGCTCCCCTCTGGGAACTCAGTGAAAATGGCAAGAAATATAAGATTAGAATTGAGAAAACACAGAAAATAGCTTTTATTTATTGGCAGAGGGGAGGAAAAGCTCCTAAGCATCATCCCAGTGTTCCTCTTTATCATCTGCTGTAACTTCTCCTTTTTCCTCCTCGAGGGCAGCAGTTCTATCTTTGCACAATGTAACACATTAAAGCGACAAGTTTTATTTCAAAGGCAATATTAATAATGGAGTTAGAAAACACTTATTTGCTAATCATTTAAAAGGAAATTTAAGCTGCAAATTGTTTCCTGTTCACACTCCTCTTTAATGGCTTTCTCTGACTTTAAGGCTAGAGATTGTGAATCCAGTCCTATGAGGTTTATTTGGGGAAATGGAAGAAAACTAGAATTTATTGATTGAGCACTTCCTGTGTGCCAGGCCTAGAGGCAGGTGTTTACATTCCTCATCTGCTATCCTTTGAATGTGTCCCCTCTAAGATTCAAATGTTGTTAATGTGATGGTATTAAGAGCTAGGGCCATTAAGAGGTAATTAGGCCACAAGGGCTCCTGTTTTGTGAATGGGATTAGGTGCCCTTATAAGGGGGGTTGATGGAGGGAGTTTCTTCTCTTTTTGCCCTTCTGCCATGTGAGGACACAGTGTTTCTCCCCTCTGGAGGATGTAGCACTTTGGGCTTTGCCTTGGAAGCAGAGACCTGACTCTCAGAAGACACCTAACCTGCTTGTGTCGTAATCTTGGACTTCCCAGCCTCCAGAACTGGGAATTTTAAAAATCTGCTTTTTATGAATTACCCAGTATCAGCTACTTTGTTATGGCAGCAGAAAACAAACTAATTTATCGGTTCTCACAATCTCCTGGCAAAGGTATTGTTGGCCACATTTCATAGATGAGAAAATGGAGCAACAGGAGGAAAAGTAACTTATCTAAGATTACACCTGTGTAAGGGGCAGAGCTGGAATTTAAGTCTGAGGCAACTGCCCTGAAGCCTCCTGTTATGCAGACAGTGGGATATGATAGTGGGGTAGGGGGGATAGGCCAGAGGGCAGGAGGGGAAGTGAATGTTTGTCTTTGTACTGTTTTAGAATTTCTCCCTCTGCTGTCAGAGAAGAGAGGGGCCCGGGCATTTTTGTAGGGGTGGAGAGACAATGCAGGTTAGTGGCTCTATGACTGGGTTGTCTCTTAGGAAATGGGGATTTGAGAGAAGGACCAGTACCACCTCAGGATTCCAGAGACCTCACAGCCTATCTAGGCTCTGCCCCTGGCTTTCTCTGGAGTCTTGTTTCTTCACCTGTGAGATGGGGACACCAGCATGTGTCCTTCTCACTTCAGTGAGATTTGTTACTCTTATTACCTGACATACTCATTCATATTAAGGAATTAATTATCCATAATAATTTATTATAGCTCACTGAGGTATGTCTGTATTTTAAATATAGTAATTTGACTATTTCAATGTTTTATACTGAAAAAAGAAAAAGAATCTCTAAACATTGAAGAAAATTAACGCTCCTGACTGCTAAAGATATGCTTTTACATTCCCTTAGTTCTGATCACAAACTATGGCCCACGAAGCCTAAAATATTTGCTATCTGGCCCTTTACAGAAAGTGTTTGCTGCCCTCTGCCTTATGTCATTAACTTATCGTAATTACACCATGAGGGAGACATTGTACACACTATTCAGATAGAGGATAGGGAGCTGAGCTTTCTATTTTTTTTTAATACAAGTATAAAAGACAGGATTTAACCGCAGTCTGGTAATTCTAAAGCTTTCATTCATTCTACTAAACTGCACTGCAATAACCTGGAGTTCTTACAATGCAAAGTTACACATAGAGCAAGTACAAACAGAAAGGATCGGAGGGAGATCAGTGGGGGTGTCATTTGGGGTCAGGACATTCTGAGGGAGAGTTGGACAGTATTTTACCGTATAACCTTAGTGTGTCTCTACTATTCCCTGATTCTATACCCAGGGCAGATATTGCTAATTTATTAAAGCACTGTTTTTTGTTGAGTCAGGATGCAGCCACAGAATTCTCCTGAAGACAATCCTCCAAGCATAATATGTATAACATAACTAACATTTCTGACAAGCATGAATAGGGGATATTTGAGCATCTGCATGTAATAGAAGACTTTGAGGTAGTGATAGAAGAAACCATAAGAAAATGAGATAAAACCCTTATTTTCTAAATGAATCAAAAAATACATTTTTATTTATTTTATTAGCAAGAATTTCATCAAGAGGAATACATTCAGGAAATCCTCTTTGTCCAGCATATAGCTAAGAGCAGTGGGGGTATAGGAGGGTAGGAAACTGTCTAACATGGTGGTTGGGATCATGGGCTATGGAATCAAAATGTCTGTATCCAAATCCTAGCTATGCTACTCACTGTATGTGATGCTGGGCAAGTTTTACTTACCACATTGTTTCTTAGTTTTTCTCATCCAGTAAAATGGAAAAAATAAAAAACCTACTCTATGGTGTTATTGTGGAAATTAACTGAGTTGATTTCTGTAAAGCATGTAGGGCCACACCCGACATAGGGTAAGTGCTAACATAACTGTTATACTAGTATGGCATGGCTTTTAATGTGCTTAAAATCTAGTTCTCCATCCAAGACAAACATACAGAGAAACTAAGAGAAAACAGAAGATGATATAGTACAAGCCATGCTGAAGGTCTTTATTTTTCTGTGTTGTTTGCCTCTCAGCCCTGTTTCTTCTACCTCTAAAAGTCAAAGATAACGAAAACATTTGGAGTCACCATTTTCTGCATTTATGCATAATGCTGTTCCATTCCATTGAATTTTATCCTGTCATCTCATGGATTTCTCAATAACCCCCAAGACAATGCAGTCTCATTGGAAATCTTGCTGACCTGCAATTTGTCCTTTTTTTCTGCAGCTATAGCCAAATACACATTCTTGCCACTGTGGCAATTTGGAAAATAATTCATGTCACCCAAGTACTTTTCAATAATGTTGATTTACTAATGCATTTAGTCAGGTATAGTTAAGGTCTTATTGTGCCATAAAGCATCTGCAGTAAGGAGATACCTTTAAATATTCCAAATAATTCATTTCAAATTATGGGAACTGTTTGTGTTATAATACTCAGCTATAATACCCCAGAGATATCTTGGCAGTCACTAATGAGCTAAACTATCTTTTTAGCAATCTGCTAGAGAAGAAAAAACATTATATAACTTTAAAGAGTCATTATGTATGCCCTTATGATCTATGGCTTTGCATACAATTTTTAGAAATGGTGTTTTCTAAAGGAAGTTCATAGGAAAAATCAAATTTTAGTGCTACTCCTCACTGAGCAAACAGTCAACGATGAAATGACAATTTTCTCCTGTTGAAATTATAGAATTCTCTCCCACACTCTGTTTTATTTTTTAATCAGCAATTTTAAGTTGGCAGGTGGTGAATTGGTCTAGGGGTCACTGCAGTTGTACTGTTTTAGTGTGAAGAGATGAGTATTTTATGTGGCCACTAAATACACCCTTCCAGCCCTACTCCTAGAAAATGACTAAATTTTGTATCTACTAAACATGATCTCCTGAAGATGTAAGTTAAAGAATATGGAATCCAGCAGTTTATTATTTGTGATATTCTCCAGGTTGGATACCTATCCTACTATTTTTGCAAGCCAAGGCCTCTGACTCAAAAGGCTTCAGCTCATGTGAAATGCAAAAAACGGACAGCTATGATCAGTCTACACAGGACAGTAACACTCCTCGAATAACTCCTACCAACATGGGAATATCTACGGTTTGCAATGTCAAAAGAACTAAGTGGTGATGATTATAAGGAAGTTTTTCCCATTCTGGCTTATGATTTCAATTGAGCCAGTTTCACGTTAGCCCAACTCTCTTTCCCTCAGTTACTGATAGATGTGGAGAATTGTATAATTTCTGATGTTGAAATCTGACTCTAAAGGACAGTATCAGTCTTTGGGTGTGGCAAATTACATTAGTACCCATTAAGTATTTACTCCCTTCACCTGGCCTCTATGGGAGGGAGGCATATATTTACCCCATTGATTTTGGGTTTGGCCATGTGACTTGCTTTGGCCAATGAACTATAGACAAAAGTGACAGTTTTGAGCCAAAGCTTTAAAAGACTTTCCAGTTTCTGCTCAGCCTTCTGGGGGCCTCTGATCTCAGCCATGAAAACATTCCTCAGTTGGTTCCTCCAGGTAGCTGTTCCTCTAGCCGGGCCTAAGAAGGAGGCACACAGACCAAACCTAAACTGAAACCAAGCTACCATAGCCAATCTATAGGCTCGTGTATATGAAGAGTGAATGCTTGGTTTCAGACACTGAGTTTTGGGGTTTTTGCTTAGGAAGCATTATTGTGGTAATAGCTAAGTAATATAGACCATACCCTTAAAGTTTGCTGGTTAGAGGAGAGGTCCTTAAAATGATACGTTGTCTGATCTTATCTTGCTAGGAGTCTAAACGACCTAAGGCTTGGGAGGAGACTGGGTAAAGCACATCTTACCTGTGATCCTATTACTTTTGGTTAAATCTCCTAATACCCAGCTTATTCTCAAATTAAACTGTGAGTTAGTTGTGACTGAATGGTATTACTAGATTAGCATTTTTGACACCAAAAATTGCCCACATTTCTAAGCTCGTTGTGCCTTTGGGGTACTTGTCTTAGATGGCCTAGCTGGCCTAGTTGATCCCTAGTTGGCTCATTAATTGATGAGAAGACAGAGTGAGGTAGTAAAAAGTGCATAAGAAAAATCTAGGTTAAATTCCCAAATAGGTCAACTACTTATATTCTCAGCGAGGTTCTTATCTCACTGAGATTCAGTTTCTTCATCTGTAAGGTGGTGATAAAACTTTTCTGCAATTTTTTTGGTGAGTTTTGAAGAAACAGCATGCAAATTAAGTAAAATGTCTGGTGTAATGCTTGTTGTAATCTTTAATGATTGAGTACTTGCCACCTACTAAGCACATGATGTTTTACTTGTATTTGCTCTTGTCAGCAATAAAAAATGAGATTGGTAGTGTTATCATCCCCATTTTATGGATAGGAAGCTGAAGTAATAGTGTTTAAATAACTTGCTCAAGGTTATACGGTTAAGGAACGGTTGAGCAGAATTTTTACCCGGATTAGAATGTAGAAAGTTTCCAAGAGCAAGAGACCATCACATATCCTAATAGTAAGAAAAAATTAAAGAAAAATTTAAAAATTATAATTTTTGGCCAGGCATGGTGGCTCACACCTGTAATCCCAGGACTTTGGGAGGCCGAGGCCAGGGGGATCACGAGGTCAGGAGATCGAGACCATCCTGACTAACATGGTGAAACCCCGTCTCTACTAAAAATACAAAAAATTAGCCAGGCGTGGTGGTGGCTGCCTGTAGTCCCAGCTATTCGGGAGGCTGAGGCAGGAGAATGGCATGAACCTGGGAGGCGGAGCTTGCAGTGAGCCGAGAGCGCGCCACTGCACTCCAACCTGGACAACAGAGCGAGACTCCATCTCAAAAAAAAAAAAAAAATACAAATCAGCTTTGTTTCAGGAAGAAATAAATGCTTTCTAGGAAAGAAGGGTCTTATGGCTATTTTCATTTCTAGGGACATGGAAGAAAGATAATTAAGGACCCCAGAGGTAGGGCTAAGGAGAAACCAGCCTAACTTTTGACACACTTCAAATTCACACATCTGGGCAAGCACAATGAATAGAAACCCCAAGGATCCACATTAATAAAGCAAATATGCATCCAATCTTCAAATATTTCCCATGATGCCTTAATTGAGTGCATGAGAATAACCCACAGAGGGCTGGTGGCAAAGGAGGAAAACAGAGCATTTCTGAGGCAAAGTGTGCCTTCCCTAAATGAAAGTCAGCAGGTAACCAAAACAGGGCAGAAGAAAACTGAGCAAGATTGGCCTTATCCCAAAGAGCACAGGGCTTTTATGCCTGTAAGATAGTGCCACACTCAAAGGCAGGGTATAAGACAGGAGAGCGAGGTGAGATCCCACCTCCACAAGTTGCATGGGCCTTATTAACAGAACAGAAATACCCAGATGAAGGTTGGAAAAAGAAGAGTTAAGAGAGAACCGCTGCACTAAGGTGCATTCAGTCTTTACTGAAAGGTAAGGATAGGGCAGCAGAGTAGAGAGATTTCCCAAAGCACTGAAATCCAGGCAAGGGCTTCGGAGTGAGAACTCCCCGGGGACTCCAAAAAAGCTGATTGCTGAGTTATAAAGCTGAGAGAGATCTCTTGTAGTTCAGAAGGTTAGTGGCTGACTATGCAGCATAAAGATAAGTACATCATCCCAGTGGTGTTCAGATCCTAAGCTCGGCTTAGGGAAAGTTCTGTTCTCACCATAAAACATTTGAAGTCAGTGGTAGGCTGAATCATTCTAAAGCTGCAACAAGACGAAACCCAGCTTAATTGGATATTAGAGTGAATCAGCCTCATACTTACAGTCTGAGAGAAAAAGTTGTATGATCTTATCTTGGGGTAAACATTATTCCTTCCAGGCTCTTTTTTTTTTCATACAATGTCTGGCTTACAAAAAAATAAAAATAAGTAACCAAGAAACAAAGAAGCAGAAAAATAAGACCTATAACCTAGCATATAAAACAATCAACAGAAGCAGAACCACAGAAGACCCTGATGTTGGAATTAGCAGTCAAAGGTTTTAAAATAACTGTAATAAATATGTTTATAAATATCTAGTGGAAGTGGTGAACAATTTGCATAAACAAATGGAAAATTTCATTGAAGTGGAAACTAGATAAAAGAACTGAATGGAAACATAAGTGCTGAAAAATATAAGACATAAAGAGTTTATGTGATGAACTTAACAGCAGACTGGACATAGCAAAAGACAAGATCAGTGAACACAAAGTTTAATAAAAAATAACCAAACTGAAATACAAAGAAATAAAATAAATCAAATTACCGAGCAGAGAACTCACTACATGCATGGATATTTTAAATAATATAACATATGGGAAATGAAAGAGAGAAGAGAGTGGGGCAGAAAAAAATTAAACTTATAATAGCCAAGAATTTTCCAAAATTGACCAAAGACATCAACCCTCAGGTCCAAGAAGTTTAGTACTCCTGAGGCAGAATAAGTATAAGTAAAACACACTTATATATCTCATAGTTAAAAGGCTGAAAATCAAGGATAAAAGGGAAAATCATAAAAGCATTTAGAAGGGGTCAGAAAACTGTAGTCTGCAGGCTAGATGTGGCTCAGAAACTGATTTTTTAACAGCCCACATGTAACTGAGTAGCCTAACTTCAAAACGCATTTTTGGTTTCTTTCTTGCTTTTAGCCTTGAAACATACTTTAAAACTCTTGGTTTCCCTTCATTCCCATCAGACACTCCCTTGCACTGCTAGCATATCTGATTATATGCCTACTTACAAGTTCCAGGGGCTAATCTTGAGACAAACTAGGCATGGAGACCCAGCTGTGAAATTCTAGAGATTACCTTGAGGTGATAAGTCTACAATCTGGCCATTGTTAAGATGACACAGCCTGCACTCTTGGTGGACCATGACTTAAGAGAGCCACTGGAACAAGACACACAGACCTTGTACACAGCACCACTCCTGCATGCCTCTCATTCCAAGTTCCCCTTTTAAAATCCCTCTCTCCACGCTGGGCATGGTGGCTCATGCCTATAATTCCAACACTTTGGGAGGCCAAAGTGGGGCAATCGCTTGAGGCCAGGAGTTTGAGACCAGCCTGCTCAACATGGTAAAACCCCATCTCTACTAAAAATATAAATAAAATTAATAAAAAATAAAATAAAATCCCTCTCTGTAGCCTAAAGTTTAGAATGTTCTTTTCAGGGCATAAGCCTAGCCATTCCCCAGATGCTAACTTTGAATAAAGTTTTCTTTTCACCATACATTGCTTCTCATATTTTTGGCCTCTGAGCAGCGAGCCAGCAGACTTGCTTGGGGTTACAAATTTGGTGCCCCATGTGAGGACTGTGCATTTTGATTCCACTTGCCTGTCTTCCTGGTTTCCAATGAGCTAGGCAATTAGCTGTGGCAGTGTTCCAGAAATTAACTGTTCAAGCTACCAGGTGGGGCAAAAGCCCCTCGTAAATGCCAGCTGCTTGTGGCTAGCTGACCCTGTGGTTGGGGCTCTAGGGATTTTCCCAGGAGATGATGAGATGCTTTTTTCTTGGGGAATCTCCCTTCATTTCCCATCATGACACCAGCTGTCTACCATGCTTCGCTGGTGCAAGGAAAGTGACAACTGAAAAGTCACTGAACTTCAGAACTGGGTAGGTCAACCAGAGTGCATCCAGAAACCCTCTGTCTCCTCTGCGTTGTGTCACTTGGGCTCTGCTCTGGACCTAGCTGCTTGTGATACCATCTGTGTGTACATCATCTGTGGCACCACTTGGACTCTCCTCTGTTTGGACTTAGTTGCTCATGGGGCTTTCTGAGGCTTTAGAGTTTTTACCTAGTCCCCTTGGTGGGGATCAGTTTGAGATCAGGCTGTCTGAACATATAGCTGTATGTGTGTGGCATCTATATTTGGGCCCTTATCTCTCTTTTTCTCATCCTCTATTTCTCTCTTTCACTTGAAAGTGACTCACACAGCCTCTGCTCAATCCAGGAATCTGGCCTTGAAGGAGAACGACTTCCATCTCCCTGGCTTTTGGTTCAGTTGTCCTTCCTGGGACCCCAGAGTACTTCTTACAACTATGCCAGACCTTGTCGGGGAGGAAAGCATCAGAACTCTTTGGCAGATTTTTCTAAGCAGGGCCGTCTCTCTGCTTGTGTTTCTCAATGCTGTTTATGTGAGGAAAAGACTGAAAACACCTGGGCTAAATCCTTGAACAGTCCCAACTCCAATCCTTTAACCCTTTTTGTCTTCCTGGTTCATCATTTTATTAGCTGTCATTCTGTTACTGTTTACCAGGGTGGTGAATACAGCAGAACCTGAGTTTGGGGAAAGGTCAAGGTATCAAAATAAGCTGTGCTAGTTATTGCCACTCACCAACTTGCTCAGAGAGCTCATTCTTTGACATCCTTGACTGTCAGCTGTGGTGAGATTTGCACAAACATGCCTATTGGCATTGTGCATGATGTTATATAAACTGGAAGTGAAATTTCAGGAGAATCCGTCTGACTTCTGGTGATCTAGTTACACAAGACAACTGGTACAGGTGCAGAAGTAAGAGAGAAAACAGATGTTGTCATTGTAGATTTGGTTGACAGAGACAATTGGTACAGGTACAAAAACAGGGCCAAGATGGGTGGCAAAGTGTCAATCCATTCTGGGAGTCTCCTGGGAGATATCTTGGGTAACTAGATGGCCTATAGCTATGAACCCATGAGGAAGAGAAAAATGATTTTTTTAGTACAATACTGTTTGGACTCTGTATAAAGTCCAATTGTACTGTTGGTCTCCAAACAGAAGTACTCAATCCTGCACTCAAATACAGTTAGAATTGTTTTGTCAGAAGTCTGGAAAATGGGAGGAAATGCCTTATTTCCAGGTTTTCATGCTGTTGCATAATCAGGACTCTGGCCAGGGTGGGACATCAACTGCTGGCTGTGTAAAGGGAGGGAAAAGGGCCCTTCCCAACCAGACAGCCAGACCCAAAAGGAAAGAGATGAGGAAGAGATAGGCCTTTTTACTGCCTTAAATCTGGCCATTCCAATGGACCCAGATGCTATGGCTGCAGCTGATCCAGCAGCCACTCTGCTTGCAGTGACCCAGCTGTAGTGGCTCTAGTGGTTCCTCCAGGAGCTGCTCAAGCAGTCGTGCCCATGGCCACTGTGCAACCCCCTCCCATGGTTGCAACAGCAGCAGCTGTTCTTTTGGTGGCTGTCTCGGCTGCGTCAGCATTGCCTTATGAGGCACCAGACCTGGGGGCAAGCGCTGCTCCTCCGCCTCAGTATGATAAAGGATTTAGAAAGGTCTTTCCCTCCGAGACATGGCAGGGCACCAACTTTGAACAGGGTAAAACCATGACCAGAACAAGGCAAATACCCACTTAGATGGATGCCCATGGGCATCTTGGACCCATTGGATATAGCTGGATTTACATCCCCTTCTCAACGTCCAAAGTATTAAAGTGGAAAAGCTCCAACCCACCCTTATAGAGAGAACCCTCAGAAAATGACTGATCTTATCGAATCTATCTTTGCCACCCGTCAGCCTATCTGGGCAGATGCTTGGTCTCTTTTAACTATGCTCCTACCTCAGACAAGAGAAAGCTAGTCATAGATAAGGCAAATGAGGAGACTTGGTGTCTCCACAAAGCAAACACAAATGGTACTCTCAACCCACCAAGGGCAGTTCTGGCCATGAACCCTAATTGGGATCCCAATGAAAAGGGGGAGCGGTGGCTCACAATTGTAATCCCAGCACTTTGGGAGGCCGAGGTGGGTGGATCACCTGAGGTCAGAAGTTCGAGACCAGCCTGACCAACATGGTGAAACCCCATCTCTACTAAAAATATAAAAATTAGCCGGGCATGGTGGTGCATCCCTGTAATCCCAGCTGCTCTGGAGGCTGAGGCAGGAGAATCACTTGAACCCAGGAGGTGGAGGTTGCAGTGAGCTGAGACTGTTCCATTGCACTCCAGCCTAGGCAACAAGAGCAAAACTCTGTCTGGAAAAAAAAAAAAAAAAGGTGGAGGCAGGAGGGGAAAGAGCCTGACTAGAACATTACTAAACATGCATTCTGGTAAGACTAAGAAGGGGGTTGCCAAAGCAGAAGACCTAAAGGAAGTTCAAGCAATCACCCAAAAAGCAAATGAGGACCCCTCTGAATTCTTGGAACATATTTACCAAGCCTTCCATAGATATACTCATATAGACATGAAGAACCCTGAGAACTCAAGGATGACAAACATGACTTTCATACCACAGAGCACCCTTGATATAAAGGGAAAGCCAGAAAAGTCAGAGATTGCACTAGGAATGACCCTTTTTCAGATGGATGGTATTGCTTTCAAAGGATAATTGCCTTCAAAAGATACAATGGCAGGAAGCTGAAAAAGCAAAAACCAGCCACAGTATATATGGAGACAATCAGGAAACCTCCAAGTCAGAAGAAGAACAAAAGTTGGGGAGAGACTCTGGGCTGCAATTTTTGTGGCTATTGCAGGGAAGAGGATCATTAGAAGGCTGACTCCCCCTAAAAAGGGGATTCAACATCCAGAAAAAGGAGGTGCTCACTTAGGAAAAAGCCCATCGGCAAATGGTGGAACAGAGCTATGGCTCTGGCAGTAGATAGGGATACCCAGAGGCGCCCCTAAATCTCTAGAGCCAATTAAAATTTCCCCACAGTAGTTCTGGGTACAACAGACAGTGGGGAAGAAATGGATTGATTTTTTTTTGTCAACTGGGGTGTGACTTATTCAGTTCTTAACACCCCAGAAAGAAGAAGCACAGAGGTGACTGTACCTGTGACAGGAGTTACAGGGAGAATACAATAAAAAACTTTCTGACAGCCTTTAGAATGTCAATTGGGAAACCTGTAATTGACACACAGGTTCCTCTATATGCCAGAATGCCCCATATCTCTAACTGGGACAAGACCTGCTATGTAAGTGAAATACTCGAGTGACTTTTTTCCTAGAAAAAATAGCAGTTACGCCTGCAGGTCCCAGGTGAGAATGCACTGTGACGTGCAGATGCTGCTCACTTACCCTGAGAAGAAAGAGAAAGAGAGCTTTCCCCTAGAGGTCTAAAAGAGACTGACAAGACCCCAGATGAGCTAAAAATGCAAAACTGGTATATATAGAAATAAAAGAGGGAACTAAAATACCTTGGAAAAACAATATCTTTCGAAAAAGGAAGACTTTGAAGGAATTCAGCCTGTTTCACAAAAGTTTCTGGAAAATGGATGAATTCATCCTTGCAGCTCCCCGTATAACACTACCATTCTGCCTATAAGAAAGCCTCACTTGGCCAGGTGCAGTGGCTCAAACCTGTAATCCCAGCAATTTGGGAAGCTGAGGTGGGCAGATCACCTGAGGTTGGGAGTTCAAGACTAGCATGACCAACATGGAGAAACCTGGTCTCTACTAAAAATACAAAATTAGCCAGGCATGGTGGTGTATGCCTGTAATCCCAGCTGCTCAGGAGACTGAGGCAGGAGAATCACTTGAACCTGGGAGGCAGAGGTTGCGATGAGCCAAGATCACGCCATTGCACTCCAGCCTGGGCAACAAGAGCAAAAGAAAAAAAAAAAGAAAAACTCCATCTTAAGAAAGAAAAAACACCTCACTCAAACAAATATTGGTTTGCTCAAGACTTAAGTGCTATTAACAAAATCATCCAAGATATTCATCTGACTTTGCCTAATCCATACACTTTATTAACTGCTATACTTAGGAGCCTTAAGTGGTTTTCAGTGTTATACTGAAAAGATGCCTTTTTTTGCATTCCAATTGAAGAAAAGGGCCAGATGATATTTCCCTTTGAATGGAGAGGCCCAGAGACAGAAACAACCTTCCAATACTGTTGGCCAGTGTTGCCTCAAGGATTCAAATGTTCACCCATTATTTTGGGGGATATACTGGCAAATGATGTGAGATGCATACAATTAGATGAGGGAGTTCTGCTGCAATACATAGATGACTTGCTGAAAGCCAGTCCCAACTATGATAAATGCCTGTCCAAAACCTTCCTAGTTCTAAACCACCTGGCAATGTGCAGATATAAAGTGTCCCCACAAAGGCTCAAATCTGTAAATAAAGAGAAACCTATCTTGGATTCAAGTGAAAAGAAGGCAAAAGGAGTCTGATGTCTGGCAGAAAACAGGTAATAGCTGCCATTAAAGCCCCTGAGAATAGGAGACAGCTGCGAGGATTCTTGGGCATGGCCAGCTTCTGCTGGATCTGGATTCCTAATTTTGGAGTAATGGATAAGCTCCTTTATGAAGCCTTAAAGAGACTAGACTCAGAGTCCTTTCCCTGGACAACTGAATGCCAGCATGCATTTGACATCATCAAAGAAAACTAATATCAGCTCTACCTTTGGGTCTACCAGGTCCCCCAAAGCATTTTAAGCTCTATGTCAATGAAAAACAAGGCACAGGACTGGGAGTGCTTATCTATAAAATACCGAGGGATATGCTCCCAACCTATATCCTATTTTTCAAAACAACTAGATCAAACAATTAGGGGATGTCCTTCCTGTCTCTGGGCAATAGCTGACACTTGCAAGATCTTGCAAAGCAGAAAAGTTTACCATGGGACAGCCAGTCACCATGCTTGTGCCTCATGATGTGCTAACTTTGCTTGAGCAAAATGGAGGTTACTGGCTCACTGTGGGGCAAATGAACAAACATTAGGCCATCCTTTTAGATGACTCAAACATCGCCTTGCAAATCACCGTAGCTCTGAATCCTCCTCCTGGCTGCTGAGCCTAACCAGTGGCTGAGCATGACTGCCTGGAGATGCTTGATGAGTTTTATTCCAGCGGGCTGAACTTGTCAGATCAGATGATAATTGTTCCATATTGGGAGCTATACACTGATGGGAAGATCTTCATGGAAAACAAACAACATAGAGCTGGGTATGCCTTGGTGACTATGGTCAAGGTAATAGAGGGTTATGCCTGCCCGACCAGGTCCTTTGCTCAGAAAGCTGAACTGATTGCTCTTAACAGGGGCTTTAGAGCTGTGCCAAGGAAGGTGGATAAATGTTTACACTGACTCTAAATATGCCTTCTTGGTGGTGCATGCTCATGTGGCTATCTGGAATGAGAGAAGCCTTTTAATATCAGAGAATAAGGACATTAGATATCCAGTGGAAATCCTGGCCCTGTTAGAAGCAGTATCCTCACCTACCTAGGTCACCATCATGTACTGCCCTGGACACCAAAAAGATGATTTCCAAGTGATCAATGAAAAGCAAGCAGTGGACAAGGCTGCAAAATGGGCTGCTTGAGAAGCACAAATGCTTGGGGCTTTAATATCCACTTAGACCTATTGGATTTGAAACCTCTTTATACCAAGCAAGATGAAGGATTAGCCTGTGACTGGGGAGTTGCTAATGCAAACTCTAACTTGTCTTGAAAAACTAACACTCCTGGAATGGTCCTACTCTGTGAAGCCCTAGTGTGCCCAGTTTACAAACATCTGCATGAAAGAACACACTATGGGGGGTATGCGTCAGTCAACCTTGTGCAGCCACACGATAGGGGCCTATATCTCTGAAGAACTGTTCAGAAGATCACATGGGGACCCATTTGATGTGATAAAAATAATCCTCAGACCGAACACAATCCTCCTAAGAAAGGGGTACTGTACAATGGGCTGTGCCTGTTTAAAGATTAGCAACTAGATTTTACTCAAATGCCCAAGGCCAGTGGAAATTGCAGGCTCCTTCTGGTGTTTGTAGACACCTTCTCACTATGGGTTGAAGCATACCCCACTAAGTCTGAAGGAGTCACTGAAGTAGTCAAAGCTTTGTGAAAAGAAATAATTCCCAGATTCGAACTTCCATGTTTTATACAGAGTGACAATGGCCCTTATTTTATTTCAGCAGTTACCCACAAGGTAAGTCAAGCATTGCAGATCAAATGGAGGTTACATTTGTCATGAGACCAGTCAATGGGACAGATGGAGAAGACGAATCATATCATTAAGAAGATGGTGGCAAAACTCTTCCAGGAAACATTTAAGCTGGGATAAAGTTTTGCCCATTGCATTGCTCTGCATCACAGTAGCACCTGAAGTGGCCTTGGATTAAACCCTTTTGAAATTATTTACAGGAGACCCTTCCAGACCCTCTTACCAGGAATCCAGCCTTTGGATTTCTTAAATAACTTTAGAGTGGAGCAATATGTAAAACGATTAGGACAAATAATACTAACACTTTCATATACAGTGTGGTTGATACTCTTCTCCTTGTCCTCTTTGGCTGCTGTGAATTTTGCTGCTGGTGTACACTTTACATGGGGATACATAACAGACTTTCTCAAAAACAAAAAAGGTCCTCACACCACAATGCTCCAATAAGTTTCTGCTATGAGTCTGTGAAGCTGGGAATATTTCCAACTCCAATGAAATAGATTTCATTCTAGTACCCCCTAAGTACACCCCTTTTCAGCAAGAAGTAGACAAACTGACTCTGTCACCCACTTTCCATAGAAATGGAATAGAATTTGAAAGTGTGGACTTATAACCAAGTAGCCTAGCTTCAAAATGCATTTTGAAACTGTTTTCCTTTCTTGATTTTAGCATTGAAACATACTTTAAAAACTCTTTGTTCCCCTACCTTCCCACCAGACACTCCCTTGTACTGCTAGTTTGTCTACTTTCATGGTTAATCGGAAGTTTCAGGGACTAATCTTGAGAAAAACCAGGTATAGAGACACAGCTGCAAAATTCCAGAGATTACCTCAAAGTGGTTAGTTTATAATCTGGCCATTGTTGAGATGACACCTGCCTGTACCCCAGGTGGACCATGACTCAAGGTAGCCACTGGAACAAGACATGCAGACCTCGTACCCAGCACCACTCCTTCATGCTTCTCACTCCAAGTTCCCCTTTTTGAGCCCCTCTCTCCAGCCTGAAGTTTGGAATGGCCTTCTAAGGGAATAAGCCTGGCCATTTCTCAACTGCTAGCATTTGAATAAAATTGCTTCATTTCACCACACCTTGCTTGTTGAGTTTTCGGCTTCTGAGCAGTAAGCGCCTGAACTTGCATGTGGTTACACACAGTTTAAGAATTTTTTAATATCATTATTATATAAATATTTACATAATGGTCTCAATTTTTTATCTTAGTCTAAAAAGCTGAAATTATTTACTGTCTTCCCAATTACAGTAAAAAGTTTGGCAACTGTTGATCTAGAAAAATAAGAAATAATATGTTTAGGGGAGCAATATTAAGGTTAGTAGAATTCTCATAAAGATAAGGCTAGAGTCAATGGATAAACACCTTTAAAGTGCTGAAGAAGGAAAATACATAACTGTCAACCAAGCTCTGATATTTTTGTCCTGCTTTGGCATTCATTGCCATTTACCCAATTTAGTGTTGTGGAATGCATAGAAGCCAACCCCACATATCGTAATAATTGAACCTAGAAAGATTAAGTTAAACAGTGACAAACATAAGACCAATAGTTGAATTAAAACAATAACAAAAAATTCCCACAAAGAAATTAGAGGAGATATGCTTTACAGTAACGTGAATAAGAGGCAGTGCTTTGTAAATCAGGTCACTTCGCGTTTGCTCCCATCATTGGCTGAGCTGCTGCTAGCAGTGCACATGCTGAATACAACATTAGACTGAAGTCAAGAGGTAGATGTAGAATTGAGTCATACTTCTACCTCTTCAGTGTTTTTATGACAACTTCTGTCAGTTGTGGTATGCTGCTCTGTAAAATAGAGTTAAAAAATGCCCCCCACCCCTATCTTACTTGGTGGATTTGTAAATCAAGGGAACAAGAGTGAAATGAGCAACTGAAAGGGTCTTTGAATACTTCCAAAGTGAAGGTTAAAATATTACTGGAAAAACAAAATAACCAAAATGCCTATCACCAATAAAAATCAACAAGTGTATTCTTATGCTCCATGGACATAATTATAGAAAAAGGGAGGTGATGATTTTTTCCTACTCTGTCCTGGTAAGACCACTCCAGAAATGTTGAGTTTTTGAATGTTGCACATCAAGAGAGAAACAGACTATTAGGGACACCTTCAGAAGGTATCATTGCATATAATTCCAAAATTCTTAGGTGTAGAACATTTGAAAGAATGCAGAATTGTTTCTAAGTGAGTAGTAGCCTTGAAGAAAAGAGGTTCAGGGATCCCAAGAGACAAAATGGAAAAGCATGGAGTTTTTCCATTCAAATCTGTGTAAACCCTCACATTTGGAATCTTGGCTGAGACACACCTTGTGGTATGGCCCTGATAAAACTGACTAAGCTCCTTGAATCTCAGTTTTGGCATTTGTTAAATGGAGATAATATTAACTAACTTATCATGCTGTTGAGAAGATTCAGTGATACTATGTAAGATAATACAACCTATAGGCTGCTTTTATATAGAACTTAATCGGTATAGAATAATTTTAATTACTTATAAAGTACTTTAAACCATTGAGAGTTATATAGAAATGGAATTGGTGCTTCTCTTTGGTTGAGGAATTCAACTATAAGCTTGGCGGAGGGTATTCAAATGTCATTGGATGTAGTTGTACTATATGAAGCTTAAGGGGCTTTCCAATCTTCAGGTCTTATTTGGACAGTATCAATAAATATCGCTATGCATCAGTTTCTCAACTTTATTTTATTATCATGCAGAGCTTATGTGTATCTATACATAGGATGGAGTAGGGGTCAATAATAGAAAGCGTCAGGATAGATTTCTGTATAAGCCTTGTCAGAAGAGAAGAGTAGACTGAGAAGATAAGAGGCTTAAACAGTCTCTTTTACTGGATGTCAATCAAAATCATTGTTCTTTTCCTCTAAATTTCATAGGTTTTCACAATAACACCAGGTTCTCATTTTAAGAGCAGAAAAGTTCCATAGATCTTTGTGGAAAGATTTAAATATTTTACTAAATATCAAATGAGCTTTTGGAGTTCTCTAATAAATGCCAGGAGTTATATATTCTTTGAACTAAGAGACAGGAAACATGCTTCATGGTAGCTCTGTAGACATTTTATTTATGAAAGAAACAAAACAACAGAAGAAACATCTGCAAAAATGACTAGAAATTGTCAGACTTGTAGACATGTTGTTCTTTGTCTCATGCTTTAATAATATATGGAAGACCAGCTTACAAGAAAGTTCTCTGTTTAGTATTGTATCAGCAACAATGACTGAACTACAAAGGAATGCATAAGGAGAAATGCTCTTAATGGAACACTTGAGGGCTATTTGATAGATCTACCTGGAGAAGGAAAATACATTCTGGCAAAAGAGATATTGTGATTGTCATGGGCCTGCCAGGAGACTTTTTTCCCCTGAGAAGTTAATGTTTTTCTCTGACTGAGAGGTCCTAATTTTGCATGTTGATTAAATTAGAATCTACACAAAAGAGGTTTGTTGACATGATTTGCTTTTACCTGTCCTGATTTAGCCATATTTTCTTTCCCTATTTACAACTGCACAGATGCTGAAAAAAATGAGGCCTAAAATTTTGGGTGTAATCTAAGGCTGACCTCTAGATTCAAAGATTAATTTGAGTCCCTCTGTAGTCAAAACAGCTAAATTAGGATAACATTGAGTTTTTTCATTGTTTTACTACTGTCTATTACTTTTTGTATTCTTTTTTTTTTTTTTTTTTTTTTGAGACAGGGTCTTGCTCTGTCGTCCAGACTGGAGTGCCATGGCATGATCTTGGCTCACTTCAACCTCTGCCTCCTGGGTTCACATGATTCTCCCATTTCAACCTCCCAAGTCGCTGAGGTGCAGAACACCACGCCTGGCTATTTTATTTTATTTTATTTCATTTTTTGTGGAGATGGGGTCTCTTCACATTGCTCAGGCTGGTCTTGAACTCCTAGACTCAAGCAATCCACTCGTCTTGGCCTCCCAAAGTGCTGGGATTGCAGTTGTGAGCCACTATGCTCGGTCATCATTTAATCGTCTGTTTGATGAAAGAAAATGCCACAAAAATGTCCAGCCATTTTTCCATGTCTCCTTCCCCATTCCTTCCCTACCTTCTCAACACAATCCAATTTCCATTCCCATTTGGCTCATGGGAAACAGCTTTCTAGGAATCGAGAAGCAAATCTGCCCATGACTCATATTCTTCATACCTGCCTCTGTGCCTGGCTCACTACTGCCTTTGCACTCAGGGAAAAGATTTCTTGGGAGAACTTCATTCAGGTCGGGTCAGCTCCTCAGGAAAACAGACCTAAACCTGAATTCAGGTCATCTTCATTTTTAATTCAGGTCATCTTCATTTTTAATCTGAACTTGCCTACTGCTGTCATTTTTTCATCTGCTTTTGTAAACTGATCCCCCTACCCCAAAAGTAGCATCTCTTTATTGTTTTTTTTGTTGTTGTTGTTTTGTATTTTTCTTTTTTCTGTGTGTGTGTGTGTGTGTGTGTGTGTGTGTGTGTGTGTGTGTGACAGGGTCTCGCTCTGTCACCCAGGTTGGATTGCAGTGGAGTGGTCTTGACTCACTCAGCACGCTGTGTCTCAGCAAGCTGGGAAGATTTTGTCTGTTTGTTTGTTTGTTTTTAGTAGAGACTGGTTTTCACCATGTTGGCCAGGCTGCTCTCAAACTCTTGGCCTCAAATGATCCACCCACCTCAGCTTCCTAAAGTGTTGGGATTATAGGCGTGAGACGCCATGCCCAGACAATTTCTTTTACTCTTTGAAGTGCTTTTTCTCCTGTCTCGGTCATGACACTTTTAATTTATTTTTAATAGCTTTATTCAGATATAATTGACAAACCATACAATTTGCCAATTTAAAGTGTACAATTCAATGGCTTTCAGTATATTTAAAGTTATGCATCTGTCACCACAATCAATTTTAGAACATCTTTGTTACTCAAAAAAAAAAAAAAAAAAAAAACACATTTCCAAGACCCAGCCTTTCAGTCCAAGGCAACCACTAGTCTATTTTCTGTCCCCATACTTTTTCCTATTCTGGATGTTTCACATAAATCATACAAATTGTGGTCCTTTGTGACTGGCTTCTTTCTTTATTTTTTTGAGATGGAGTTTTGCTCTTGTTGGCCAGGCTGGAGTGCAATGGCATGGTCTTGGCTCACTGCAACCTCAGCCTCCCCGGTTCAAGTGGTTCTCCTGCCTCAGCCTCCCAGGTAGGTGGGATTACAGGCACCTGCCACCATGCCTGGCTACTTTTGTATTTTTAGTAGAGACGAGGTTTCACCATGTTGGCCAGGCTGGTCTCACACTCCTGACCTCTGGTGATCCGCCCACCTCAGTCTCCCAAAGTGCTGGGATTGCAGGTGTGAGCCACCTTGCCCAGCTGCTTCTTTCACTGGTGATAATGTTTTCAAGGTTCATCCAGGTTGTAGCATGTATCAGTATTTCATTTATCAAATCGCCAAAAAATATTTATCCCTTTATCTGTTGTTAGACATTTTTTGGCTGTTATGAATAATGCTGCTATGAACATTTGTGTACAGGTTATTGTGAAGATGTGTTTTAATTTCTCTTGGTTATATAATAACCAGGAGTGGAATTACTACATCATATGGTAAGTCTATTTAACTTTTTGATGACTTGCCAAATTGTTTTCCAAAGTGGATACACTGTTCTATATCTAGCAATATATGAGGGTTTCTGTTTCTCCACACCATCACTAACACTTGCTATTATCTGTCTCTTGGCTTATAGCCTTCCTAGTGGGTGTGAAATGGTATCTCATTGTGATTTTGATTTGTATTTCTTTAATGGTTAATGATGTTGAGTATCTTTTCACATTCTTATTAGCCATTTGTATATCTTCTTTGGGAAAATGTTAAAATATGCCTACTCTTTTAGATTATTTGTCTTTTTATTATTGAGTTGTAATTGTTCTTTACTTTCTAGATACAAATCCTTATCAGATACATAATTTGTAAAATTTTCCCCCATTCTGTGGGTTGTCTTAAAACATGACATTTTGCCAGGCCATTTTTCTCCTACTCACTAATATTTGCCCATGGAAATGGCTTAGTAAGGTGTTGTCATGATAGCTTTAACCGTATAAAATTACCAACTCCATCATTTACTTTTACATTCAATTAATTTGTTTCCCAGTGCAGAGCATGTGCCTTTTGTTGCTTATAGATTTGTTTTAATATATTCTCTCTTCTTTTTTGAGTTTCTGTCTGCAGAATAAACCATTTTAAGAATATTTAAGAATATGGATTAGAAAACATGTGAAAGTAAGGGTGGGTAAATGCTGGATGAAAAATAAGTTGTTTTGTGAAGATTGCTGTGAAAACCAGAAGCTACCCAAATAACTTCTATATAGTAAACCAAAAGGGAAGACTATCAGAAATATGGAGAAAAAATACTCGGAAACACAAGTGACAATGATAATGGGCCACATGTTCAGGGTTCCACCTGCAGGGAAGGGAAGGACTGTATTTCTTATCCAATGAGGTCTCATCTAATGAGGAAACTTGTGTCTGGCAATTTGGATGGTCATCTTTTTATGTTGGCTTTAGGCTACACTGTGGCTCCATAAAATGTTACAGTAAAAAGAGAAAATCCAGGACTCTGAGTACTGAGAAAGTTCACATTGAATTCAGATTTCCTATTTCCTGTAAGAAAAATTTAGAAAGGCTAAAATATTTCCTGATTTGGAAAGGTGGCAACCACTTGATGTAATACTTCATGTAAATAGTGTGTAGGGTAGATGGCAATGATGATGATAGTGATAATAACGGTGATGAGGATGGTAGTAATAATAATTGCATCGCTCTATAACGTTTTGATTTTTCTTTTTTTATTATACTTTAAGTTTTAGGGTACATGTACACAACGTGAAGGTTAGTTACATATGTATATATGTGCCATGTTGGTGTGCTGCACCCATTAACTCGTCATTTAACATTAGGTATATCTCCTAATGCTATCCCTCCCCCCTCCCCCCTCACTCCACAACAGGCCCCAGTGTGTGATGTTCCCCTTCCTGTGTCCATGTGTTCTCATTGTTCAATTACCACCTATGAGTGAGAACAAGCAGCGTTTGGTTTTTTGTCCTTGCGATAGTTTGCTGAGAATGATGGTTTCCAGCGTCATCCATGTCCCTACAAAGGACATGAACTCATCATTTTTTATGGCTGCATAGTATTCCATGGTGTATATGTGCCACGTTTTCTTAATCCAGTCTATCATTGTTGCACATTTGGGTTGGTTCCAAGTCTTTGCTATTGTGAATAGTGCCACAATAAACATATGTGTGCATGTGTCTTTATAGCAGCATGAATTATAATCCTTCGGGTATATCCCCATTAATGGGATTGCTGGGTCAAATGGTATTTCTAGTTCCAGATCCCTGAGGGATTGCCACACTGACTTCCACAATGGTTGAACTAGTTTACAGTCCCACCAACAGTGTAAAAGTGTTCCTATTTCTCCACATCCTCTCCAGCACCTGTTGTTTCCTGACTTTTTAATGATTGCCATTCTAACTGGTGTGAGATGGTATCTCATTGTGGTTTTGATTTGCATTTCTCCGATGACCAGTGATGATGAGCATTTTTTCATGTGTCTGTTGGCTGCATAAATGTCTTCTTTTGAGAAGTGTCTGTTCATATCCTTTGCCCACTTTTTAATGGGGTTGTTTGTTTTTTTCTTGTAAATTTGTTTGAGTTCATTGTAGATGCTGGATATTAGCCTTTTGTCAGATGAGTAGATTGCAAAAATTTTCTCCCATTCTGTAGGTTGCCTGTTCACTCTGATGGTAGTTTCTTTTGCTGTGCAGAAGCTCTTTAGTTTAATTAGATCCCATTTGTCAATTTTGCCTTTTGTTGCCATCGCTTTTGGTGTTTTAGACATGAAGTCCTTGCCCATGCCTGTGTCCTGAATGGTGTTGCCTAGGTTTTCTTCTAGGGTTTCTATGGTTTTAGTTCTAACATTTAAGTCTTTAATCCATCTTGAATTAATTTTTGTATAAGGTGTAAGGAAGGGGTCCAGTTTCAGCTTTCTACATATGGCTAGCCAGTTTTCCCAGCCCCATTTATTAAATAGGGAATCCTTTCACCATTGCTTGTTTTTGTCAGGTTTGTCAAAGGTCAGATGGTTGTAGATATGTGGCATTATTTCTGAGGGCTCTGTTCTGTTCCATTGGTCTATATCTCTGTTTTGGTACAAGTACCATGCTGTTTTGGTTACTGTAGCTTTGTAGTATAGTTTGAAGTCAGGTAGCATGATGCCTCCAGCTTTGTTCTTTTGGCTTAAGATTGAATTGGCAATGCGGGCTCTTTTTTGGTTCCATATGAACTTTAAAGTAGTTTTTTTCCAATTCTGTGAAGAAAGTCATTGGTAGCTTGATGGGGATGGTATTGAATCTATAAATTACCTTGGGCAGTATGGCCATTTTCACGATATTGATTCTTCCTACCCATGAGCATGGAATGTTCTTCCATTTGTTTGTATCCTCTTTTATTTCGTTGAGCAGTGGTTTGTAGTTCTCCTTGAAGAGGTCCTTCAGATCCCTTGTAAGTTGGATTCCTAGGTATTTTATTCTCTTTGAAGCAATTGTGAATGGGAGTTCACTCATGATTTGGCTCTCTGTTTGTCTGTTATTGGTGTATAAGAATGCTTGTGATTTTTGCACATTGATTTTGTATCCTGAGACTTTGCTGAAGTTGCTTATCAGCTTAAGGAGATTTTGGGCTGAGACGATGGGGTTTTCTAGATATACAATCATGTCATCTGCAAACAGGGACAATTTGACTTCCTCTTTTCCTAATTGAATACCCTTTATTTCCTTCTGCCTGATTGCCCTGGCCAGAACTTCCAACACTATGTTGAATAGGAGTGGTAAGAGAGGGCATCCCTGTCTTGTGCCAGTTTTCAAAGGGAATGCTTCCAGTTTCTGCCCATTCAGTATGATATTGGCTCGGGTTTGTCAGAGATAGCTCTTATTATTTTGAGATACATCCCATCAATACCTAATTTATTGAGAGTTTTTAGCATGAAGGGTTGTTGAATTTTATCAAAGGCCTTTTCTGCATCTATTGAGATAATCATATGGTTTTTGTCGTTGGATTTGTTTATATGCTGGATTACATTTATTGATTTGTGTATGTTAAACCAGCCTTCCATCCCAGGGATGAAGCCCACTTGATCATGGTGGATCAGCTTTTTGATGTGCTGCTGGATTCAGTTTGCCAGTATTTTACTGAGGATTTTTGCATTGATGTTCATCAAGGATATTGGTCTAAAATTCTCTTTTTTTGCTGTGTCTCTGCCAGGCTTTGGTATCAGGATGATGCTGGCCTCATAAAATGAGTTAGGGAGGATTCCCTCTTTTTCTATTGATTGGAATAGTTTCAGAAGGAATGGTACCAGCTCTTCCTTGTACCTGTGGTAGAATTCAGCTGTGAATCCATCTGTTCCTGGACGTTTTTTCGTTGGTAAGCTATTAATTATTGCCTCAATTTCAGAGCCTGTTATTGGTCTATTCAGAGATTCAACTTCTTCCTGGTTTAATCTTGGGAGGGTGTATGTGTTGAGGAATTTATCCATTTCTTCTAGATTTTCTAGTTTATTTGCATAGAGGTGTTTATAGTATTCTCTGACGGTAGTTTGTATTTTTGTGGGATCAGTGGTGATATCCCCTTTATCATTTTTTATTGCATGTATTTGATACTTCTCTCTTTTCTTCTTTATTAGTCTTGCTAGCGGTCTATCAATTTTGTTGATCTTTTCAAAAAAAAACAGCTCCTGGATTCATTGATTTTTTGAAGGGATTTTTTATTTCTCTATTTCCTTCAGTTCTGCTCTGATCTTAGCTATTCCTTGCCTTCTGCTAGCTTTTGAATGTGTTTGCTCTTGCTTCTCTAGTTCTTTTAATTGTGATGTTAGGGTGTCAATTTTAGATCTTTTCTGCTTTCTCTGGTGGGCATTTAGTGCTATAAATTTCCCTCTACACACTGCTTTGAATGTGTCCCAGAGATTCTGGTATGTTGTGTCTTTGTTCTCGTTGGTTTCAAAGAACATCTTTATTTCTGCCTTCATTTCGTTATATACCCAGTAGTCATTCAGGAGCAAGTTGTTCAGTTTCCATGTAGTTGAGCAGTTTTGAGTGAGTTTCTTAATCCTGAGTTCTAGTTTGATCGCCTTGTGGTCTGAGAGACAGTTTGTTATAATTTCTGTTCTTTTACATTTGCTGAGGAGTGCTTTACTTCCAACTACGTGGTCAGTTTTGGAATAGGTGTGGTGTGGTGCTGAGAAGAATGTATATTCTGTTGATTTGGGGTGGAGAGTTCTGTAGATGTCTATTAGGTCCGCTTGGTGCAGAGCTGAGTTCAATTCCTGGATATCCTTGTTAACTTTCTGTCTTGTTGATGTGTCTAATGTTGACAGTGGGGTGTTAAAGTCTCCCATTATTATTGTGTGGGAGTCTAAGTCTCTTTGTAGGTCTCTAAGGACTTGCTTTATGAATCTGGGTGCTCCTGTATTGGGTGCATATATATGTAGGATAGTTAGTTCTTCTTGTTGAATTGATCCCTTTACTTTATGTAATGGCCTTCTTTGTCTCTTTTGATCCTTGTTGGTTTAAAGTCTGTTTTATCCGAGACTAGGATTGCAACCCCTGCCTTTTTTTGTTTTCCATTTGCTTGGTAGATCTTCCTCCATCCCTTTATTTTGAGCCTATGTGTGTCTCTGCACATGAGATGGGTTTCCTGAATACAGCACACTGATGGGTCTTGACTCTTTATCCAATTTGCCAGTCTGTGTCTTTTAATTGGAGCATTTAGCCCATTTACATTTAAGGTTAATATTGTTATGTGTGAATTTGATCCTGTCATTATGATGTTAGCTGGTTATTTTGCTCGTTAGTTGATGCAGTTTCTTCCTAGCCTCAGTGGTCTTTACAATTTGGCATGTTTTTGCAGTGGCTGGTACCAGTTTTTCCTTTCCATGTTTAGTGCTTCCTTTAGGAGCTCCTTTAGGGCAGGCCTGGTGGTGACAAAATCTCTCAGCATTTGCTTGTCTGTAAAGGATTTTATTTCTCCTTCACTTAAGAAGTTTAGTTTGGCTGGATATGAAATTCTGGGTTGAAAATTCTTTTCTTTAAGAATGTTGAATATTGGCCCCCACTCTCTTCTGGCTTGTAGAGTTTCTGCCGAGAGATCCGCTGTTAGTCTGATGGGCTTCCCTTTGTGGCTAACCTGACCTTTCTCTCTGGCTGCCCTTAACATTTTTTCCTTCATTTCAACTTTGGTGAATCTGACAATTATGATTCTTGGAGTTGCTCTTCTTGAGGAGTATCTTTGTGGCATTCTCTGTATTTCCTGAATTTGAATGTTGGCCTGCCTTGCTAGATTGGGGAAGTTCTCCTGGGCATTTTGATTTTTCAAAGCATTTTCACATACATTGCCACCAGAATCTACAAGAATCAAGCAAGATTGCAAAATAAATCTTTATTGCCCATGTTTCTTCAAAGTTTTTAGTGAAGCATAACATGTATACAAAAAAAATTCACATAAGTGCATAGTTCGATGGTTTTTCACATATTGAATATTCCATGTCAACAGCTCAAGGAGCATATCATTACTAGCTTCCCATGTGTCCTTCTTTATGCTCAGCTAATCACTAAAACCTTCAACATACCAGGTAGTCACATTCCTGGCTCTTCATGCCATAGCTTAGTTTTGACTGTTCTTAAGCTACAAACAAATAAAACCATGCAGTATGTACTTTTTCTGTGTTTGACTTCTTTCACTTCATGTTTGTGAGATTTATCCCTAATCCTCAATGCTGCATTCCATTGTGTGAATAAACCATATTTATGTATCCATTCTAGTGACATTTGGATTGTTTCCAGTTTATCGTTATTATAAATAGTATTGCTAGGAATTTTTTTTTTTACATTTTTTAGGGGTACATACCTAGGAGGAAAGTCACTATGTCGTGATGGACTATGTACATGTGTTTGAATTTAGAATAAGCTACCCCAAACAGTTATCAAAAGGGGATGATTCAATCTCCCACTAGCAATATATGAAACTTTTGACTTCCTCCAATCCTCATGAAACATTTCATATTTTCTGTGTTGTTAATTCATTTTGAAAATGGAGACTGAGGAGCACTATCATAAGAAAAGCCTAGAGCACAAGCCTACTGACGCAGTGTTAACACAATATGCTTTTACTAAACCAAATACAATATTGCATCACTTGGCAAGGAAGGCTAAGGTATCAGTAGCACAGAGCATAACAAAAATTACCAAAATATAAACATTTCTGGTTTTAGCAGTGACATGCAAAGAGCTTGGAAGTTGTTGTTCCCATCCTTACAATAACAAAAAGCTGCAAAAACTGAAAAAAAAAAATCAATGTCTTCTCTTAGACCCATTGGAGAACTGAGATCACAGGGGAAGCTGTCATCCTGAAATCCTGAAATACAGATGAATCCAGACAGTCCCAGCTGAGATCTGTTTATCTGAAGACAAAGCCATTGGAGCTATAACCTAGTGAGAACATGTAAATAATTTTGATGAATAGCTAGGGGCTGAATGTGAAGTAACATAAGAGTAAGAAACTTCTGCAGCCCCCCTCCCACTGTCCTGGGTCCTCCTCCAGGAACCCTGCCAGGTTTCCGTGAGGAGGAACTGGAGAAAGGGATTCTTTTCAACTCCAGCTCCCCTCTAGCCTTCTTGGGTAGAGACTAGGTGAGACTGGGCTTTAAGGCAATAGGTCTACAGTACTGCCGGCAGAGAAAAGAGTAGGTATAAGGGTGAGGGAAAAAGCTATATCACTGAAGGAGGAATACTAACACATATGGTCACAGCCCTGAAACAGGCCTATTAAAAGACCGATTCTTGGCCAAAAGACTTCCCCAACTTCCACCCCTAACCACCACACCAATAAGGGTCCAATATAATATGCAATATAGCTGGAAGAGCTCCAAGATATAGACTGTCTCCAAGGAGAAAGGTATGGGAAAGCCCCAAGTTTAAGAAACACAAAAGCAAACACACTGGAACTTAAAGTCTGGTAAGTGTAATTACAACAAACAAACACAGACCAATTTCTACCTAGATTAAGATAGATCCTCACACTGAAGGCCTATTTACCTAATTTCCTGTCTTATACAATACGTCCAACTTTCAACAAAAAAAATTCAATCTATTCTAAAAGGCAAGAAAAAGCACAATCTGAAGAGATGAAGTAAGTATCAATCAAATTTAAGTATAACACAGATGTCGGAATGATATGACAGGAAATTTAAAATAATAATGTTAAGGGCTGTAATGGAAAGAGTAGACAACATGAAGAAACAGATGGGTAATAGGAGCAGAGAAATAAAAATTTCCAACCTAAGTAGAAATTCTAAGAATCAAAAGGAAATTCTAGGAATAAACACTAACAGAAATAAGGAGTGCCTTTGATGGACTCATTAGTACACCAGGCCAAGCTAGAATTAGTGGGCCTGAAGATAGGTCATTTGGAATTTGAAATTTAAAAAATTTTAAGAGTACCATATAATTATTTGTAATCATCAAAAACTGGAAGCAACCAAGATGTCCTCCAATAGATGAATAAACTTTTACATACCTTCAAAAGAATACCATAGAGAATGAATCTTAAATGTACACTGCAAAGTAAAATAAACCACTCTGAAAAGACAATATGTTGTATGATTATGATTATACGGAATTCTGGAAAAAGCTATGGAGATAGCAAAGAGATCAGTGGTTGTCAGAAGTGTGAGCAGGGAGGAGGATTGAGTAGATGGAAGCTTGGGATTTTGTTTAGGGTAGTGAAATGATTCTGTGATGCTGCAATGGTGGGTAAATAAAATTATGCATTTGTCAAAACCCATAGAACCTTACAGAACAAAAAATGAATCTTATTTTATGGAAATTTTAATTATCATTTAGGAAATTGAGTGATCTCAAGAAGGAATTCAGACTTTGACAAAATAACTATATTGCAAATATACTAAATAACTTAAGTATGTTGGGAAAACAGTGCTGATCTAAGTAACTTTGGAAATGAGTAGAGACTGTAAGACTTAAGGCAAAAAGAATCATATTTAACCTGGTTCTCTCATTGATAGTTATTTCTCATGGGTGCATGGGTTAGCAATTTTGAAATCACTATCCATGTATACTGGAATTGAATAATTAATTATATGGATGACAGAGGTAGGAAACAGATTTCTCACTGTTGAAGTGGAAACTCATGGATGAGCAATGGGAGAGAGCTAGAATAATATTTGTGGTAATGGATTAGAGATGAAGACATCAGTATGAACTCATATTTTGCTTAATACAGATACAAATGATTACATATATAAATATATATGGATATGCTTATATACAGGACTAGTTTACACATTTGCCACTGTCAGCTGAGGGGGCCTAGTAGTAATTGCACCCCAGTAGCAATGCACACACTGCCCAGATCTGTTTGCAGATGACATGGTCTTATATATAGAAAACCCTAAAGACTCCCTTGCAAAACGGCTAGAACTATTGAATAAATTCAGTAAAGTTGCAGGATAGAAAATTAACACATAAAATCATTTTTCATGTTTGTTGGCCATTTGTATATCTTTTTTAAGAATTGTCTATTCATGACCTTAGCCCATTTTTTAATGGGATTGTTTGGTATTTTCTGCTAATTTGTTTGAGTTCTTTGTAGATTCTGGATATTAGTCCTTTATTGGATGTATAGATTGTGAAGATTTTCTCCCACTCTGTGGGTTGCCTGTTTGCTGATCATTTCTTTTGCTGTGCAGAAATTTGTTAGTTTAATTAAGTCCTACCTATATATAATTGTTTTTGTTGCATTTGCTTCTGGGTTCTTGGTCATGAAGTCTTTGCCTAAACCAATTACTAGAAGGGGTTTTCCAATGTTATCTTCTAGAATTTTTATGGTTTCAGGTCTTAGATTTAAGTCTTGAGTTTATTTTTGTATAATGTGAGAGATGAGAATCCAGTTTCATTCCTCTACATGTGGCTTGCCAATTATCCCAGCACCATTTATTTAATAGGGTGTCCTTTTCCCACTTTATGGTTTTGTTTGCTTTGTCAAAGATCAGTTGGCTGTAAGTGTTTGGCTTTATTTCTGGATTCTCTATTCTGTTCCATTGGTCTATGTGCCCATTTGTATACCAGTACCATGCGAATAATCAGAGAGATGTAAATCAAAACCACAATGCAATACCACCTTACTCCTGCAAGAACGGCCATAATAAAAAAATCAAAAACTAATAGATGTTGGCATGGATGTGGTAAAAAGGGAACATGTTTAAACTGCTGGTGGGAATGTAAACTAATACAACAACTGTGAAAAACAGTGTGAAGATTCCTTAAAGAACTAAAAGTAGAACTACCATTTGATCCAGCAATCCCACCACTTGGTATCTACCCAGAGGAAAAGAAGTCATTATAGGAAAAAAGATACTTGCACACTCATGTTTAGGGCAGCACAATTCACAATTGCAAAAACATGGAACCAGCCCAAATGCCCATCAATCAATGAGCGAATAAATAAATTGTGGTATATATCTACTATAGAATACTATTGAGCCATAAAAAGGAGCAAAATAATGGCATTTTCAGCAACCTGGATGGAATTGGAGACCATTATTCTAAGTGATGTAATTCAGGAATTAAAAAATCAAACATTGTATGTTCTCACTCATAAGTGGGAGCTAAGCTATGAGGATGTAAAAGCATAAGAATGATATAATGGACTTTGGGGACTTGGGGGAAAGGGTGGGACAGGGATGAGAGATAAAAGACTGCAAATTGGGTACAGTGTATACTGCTCGGATGATGGGTGCATCAAAATCTCACAAATCACTGCTGAAGAGCTTACTCATGAAACCAAACACCACCTGTTCCCCCAAAACTCTGGAAATAAAAAAAGAGATAACATGTAAAATCAGTTGCATTTCTATACATTAACAATGAACTATCTGAAAAAGAAAAAGCACAATCCTATTTACAATAACATCAAAAACTATAAAATACTTAGGAATAAATTGAAGCAAGTAGGTAAAAGATCTGTATATGCAAAACAATAGGACATTGATGAAAGAAATTGAAGATGCAAATAAAGTTATCCTATGGGTATGGATTGGAAGAATTAGCCTTGATAAATTGTCCATAATACCCAAAGCAATTTGTAGATTTAATGTAATTCCTATCAAAACTCCAAAGGCATTTTTCACACAATTCATATGGAACTATAAAAGAATCTGAATTGCCAAAGCAATCTTGAGGAAAAAAAAGAACAAAGCTGAATGCATCACACTTCCTCATTTCAAACCATATGACAAAGCAGCTATAATCAGAACAATATGATATCAGCATAAAAACAGACATACAAACCAATGGAACAGAATCAAGAGCCCCAAACTAAACCCAGATATACATGTTCACCTAATATTTGACAAGGGTGCCAAGAATAAACAATGGGCAAAGTATAGTTTCTTCAATAAATATGGATATTCACATGCAAAATAATGAAATTGGACACCTATCTTACATCATTTACAAAAATTATCTAGAAATGGATTAAAGATTTGAATGTAAGAACTAAAATGGTAAAAACTCCTAGAAGAAAATGTAGGGAAAAAGCTTCTTGACATTGGTTTCGACAACAATTTTTTTGGATATGTCACCAAAAGCACAAGCAACAAAAGCAAAAATAAGTGGAACTACATCAAACTAAAAACTTCTGTACAGCAAAGAAAACAATCAACAAAATGAAAAGGTAACCTATGGAAGGGAAAAGTATTTGCAAACAATCTATCTGATAAGGGGTTAATATCAAGAATGCAGTCATGTGTTGCTTAAGGATGAGGATACGTTTTGAGAAGTGCATCCTTAGGTGATTTTGTTATTGTACGAAGTGTACTTACACAAACCTAGTTGGTGTAGCCTACTATACACATAGGCTATATGGTATGGCCTATTGCTCCCAAGCTACAAACATTTACAGCATGTTAATGTGTTGAATCCTGCAGGTGATTGTAACATAATGGTAGGCATTTGTGTATCCAAACATATCTTAATATAGAAATTGTACAGTAAAAACATGATAGTATAATAATCTTATGGAGCCATAATTTTATATTGGGTCTGTCATTGACTGAAATATCCTTATGCAGTGTATAACTGTATTTAAGAATTCATGTAATACAATAGCAAAAATCCAATCTGATTTAAAAATGAGCAAAGGACCTGAATAAACATTTTCCAAAAGAATACATACAAATGGCCAACAGGTACATCAAAAGGTGCTCAACATCACTAATCATCAGGCAATTGAAAATCAAAACCACAATGAAATAACATTTCACAACTTTAGGACTAACATACAGCATGGCAACTATAATTAACAAGATTGTATACTTAAAATTTGCTAAGAGTAGATCTTAAACGATCTCACCATACCAACTAAAAAAGTAACTGAGGTGGTAGATGTGTTAACTCACTTGATTGTTGTAATCATTTCACAATATACTTAAATCATACATTGTACACCTTACATTTATACAATTTTATATGTTAATCACACCTCAATAAAGCTGGGGGAAAGACATTACCACACACACACAAAGGGGAGCCTGAAGCATTGTGTAGAGCCAGAAAGTGCACAAAAAAACCAAATAACAACAATAAAAAAAAATCCTGCAATGACTGAGATATATTAAACAAGTAACACACACAGGAACCAACTGCAATATCTCACAGTGGCCAATGCTGGAAAACATTTGAGCAAAAAAGAAATATAATAGTAGCTAATTGTAACCAATAGTAGAAAATTATAATCCATAGTATAAAATAAATATCCAAGTCCATATTAATATAAATAAATGATTGAAGAAATAAATGTGGAAGAAGTGGTAAATTCCCTATGCAGAAAAATTTCAAATGATATATGTAGATACTCCATCCTTAAGGAGACATAGTAAAACTCTCACTCTTTAAATGTGGGATGTACATAGTGATTCTCTTCCAAGGATTAGAGTATATAAAGTGGGAGAAGAGGGTAACTCCATAGTGGAGAAACCAGATGAACACAACCTCAACTAGGTGATCAAGGCTCACATCAACTATAATAAGGCATATTGACAGTGTGTACTCCTCTTGTGCAGTAATGTGATAAGAATTGTACTTTACTTCTGTGGTGTTCCTCCCCAAAACTCATAACCTCAGGCTAATCATAAAAATACATCAGACAAATAGCAATTGCAGGACATTCTACAAAATACTGACCAATACTTTTCAAAATTGTCTAGGATATTAAAAACATCCAAAGTCTGAGAAACTGTCACAGCCAAGAGGAGGCTAAGGAGACACAATGACTATATTTAATATGAAAACCTGAGTGGGATACTGGAACAGAAAAAGGACATTAGGGAAAAACTAAGAAATTCTGAATGAAGTATTGATCCTAGTTAATGTATCAATATCAGTTCATTAATTGTGACAAATGTACCATAGTTTTGTAAAATGTTTACAATTGGGGAAGCAATGCGGATATATGAGAACTCTGTACTATCTTCACAACTTTTCAGTAAATCTAAAACTATTCTAAACTAAAACAATATATAACAAATATGTATTAGAAGAACTTTTCACCAACTTCCAAAACTGTGAGAAAGGCTCCCCAGAATCTCTTGTGTTTAAGGGAAAGAAATTATCATAATTTAAAGCAAACAGACAACCTAGAGAATGGAAGAAGATAGTCACAAACTATGCATCAGACAAAGCCCTAATATCTAGAATCTATAGGGAACTTAAATCAACAAATGAAAAACAAATAACCCTATTAAAAAATGGGCAAAGGACATGAACAGAAACCTCTCAAAAGAAGACATACATACATGCAGCCAGTAGCATATGAAAAAAATGCTCAACATCATTAATTATTAAAGAAGTGCAAATTAAAACCACAGTGTGATACCGTGTCACTCCAATCATCATGGCTATTATTAAAATGTCAAAAAGCAAATGCTGGTGAGGCTGCAGAGAAAAGGAGACACTTATACAATGTTGGTGGGAATGCAAATGAATCCAGACACTGTGGAAATTAGTCTATAGATTTCTCAAAGGGCTGCCGTTCGACCCAGAAAATCCCATTACTGGGTATATACCCAAAAGAAAATAAATCAGTCTACCAAAAAGACACAGCAATTTTATATTCACTGCTGTGCTATTCACAACAGTAAAGACAAGGAAGCAACCCAGGTGCCCATCAGTGGTAGATTAGATAAAGAAAATGTGGTGTGTATATACCATGGAAATCGTGCCACCAAAAGAAGAATGAAAGCATGTCATTTGCAGCAACATGGATGGAAATGGAGGCCATAATCCTAAGCAAATTAATGCAGGAACAGAAAGCCAAGTACTGCATGTTTTCACTTATAAGTGGGAGCTAAGCTGTGAGCACACACAGACATAAATACGAGAACAATAAATATTGTGGACTACTAGAGGGTGGAGGGCTGAATTTAAAAACTACCTATCAGGTACTATGCTCACTGCCAGGGTGACAGGATCCATACTACAAATCTCAGCATCTTGTAATATCTTCATGTAACAAAGCTGCACATGTACTCCCTGTATCTAGAATAAAAGTTGAAATTAAAAAAATACAGTGGAAAGAAAAGGTTGTAAATGTTCAGTTATGATCAGCCATACTTGGAAACATTGAGGAGAAGCTCATGGTCCATATAAGTCTGAACTTGAAATTTCTGGCTTTAAAGTCTTTCTCCAAGAAGCAGATACCTCTCTAGAGGTGGGCAAGAAAACTGGCTACCTGTCTATATAGCCATTCGGTGGAGCTTTTCTGCAGAGTGCTCCCCAAACCTTCTAACTGCTAGACTTATAAGGGCAGATGGCAGTAACTTGTAGCTTCAGGGCAAAGTCTCAGACAATCTTCTGAAAACAAGCACAAGATTTCTCTGAGGGTTTATCTTTTGTTTTAAAATATAAGAGAATTTTCCCTCCTACTCAGTAATGCCTGTAAATGTACACGTTTCTACCTAAAATCTTTGTATAAAGCAGATGCTACAGGAAGATATTCCTTGGCTTCAAACACCCTTGGCACATCGCTGTCTGTTCCCCTGAGAGGGCTCCTCCATTTCTAGTTTGAAAAGCAGAGGTGTCTGTGACATAGTAATTGGAATGAGAGGCATTTGTGTCACCAGAACTCAATGAGGGTTGCGGCACAGCTGAAATTCTGCCTCTTGCTTACCTCCTCCACACATCAGTTCCTCCACTGCCTTAATATTTTCTATTCAGGTTTCTTACAAGCAACAGGTTTCCCATTAGCCTGATCTTTATTTCTAGAGATTGTCTGACTCATCTATAAGGTCTTTAAGGGAAGGGGCTGTGTCTTGTTCATTCTATTCCTTGTACCAATGATTATCCTTTAAAAATCATAGACAAAGAAAACTTGCTCCTTTATTGACTGTTGAATGGTTGCAAGCGTAAGGGCTTCCAGCCTGCAGAATTTTAGCAGAGACAATTGCTTTGTGCTTCAGTCCTCTTCCCAATTCTGTTCTTGGCTCACTGTTTGAAATCCTCCCTGGAAGGTCCACTTATATTTGCAATTACACTTGTAATCACTGCTTTCTAAATTATTTCTCATCAAGTTGAGCTACCAGGATTTCAAAAATATCAGTTCAAAAAATTGTAAAAACCATCTTAAAAAAACTCTTTGGAGCAAGACAGCAACAAAACTTGATCACTTGGCAAAGGTGATCTGGGAAGCTTGCATGCAGAAAAGAAAGAAAATAATGGCTATGGCTGGAGACAACATCACAATGAACAAATGGGGGTGATTACTCTTACCCTAAGAAGACCTGAGTGGGACTGTGATTCTAGGAGGCAACAGGCAGAGATAGGTGGCATGGTCTAGCATGTTCATCTGCAAACTCCCTTGCCAGTTCTGTCAAGTGGATCTAAGAGCCCTCAACATTAGACAACATCCATCGGATCTTGGGAAAGTGGCCCTGGTTGGGCTGATGAGAGCAGCCTGGGTCCTGTATTAGAGGACTGCAAAGACAGGGGCAAGGGAGAGTGTCTACTGCATCTGGGTAACTGGCCTGTGCTTGACAGTTGGTGAGAATTACCTTGATGATCACAGAAATGAAAATTATAGAACTGTTCACTGGGCCACTTTATTCACTCTGGTTGTTTTGACTCTAGAAGGAAAGAACCAAGCTTTCCTAGACAAAACTATCATGGATCCCACTTTTAGGTGATAAAACGGAGTACATAGTAGTCTTTAGATACATGCTGTGTGAAATGAAACCCAAAGTAAAACCATTTGAGATCACCTGTTTCTTGTTCACCGGATGCTTCTGTGAGATCTACATCAGTTAAATGCATGCTTTATTATGAGTCCGAATCATATCCTCTCTCCAAATTCAATTACAGGCACCAGGAAGGGAAGTTGGAGCATCCAAGTGTAGTCAGTTCCAATAGACTCCCCACTGCTTTGCGCTTACTTGCTCAGTACTGAGGAGACAGACATTTGGCTAGAGAGAGTTTAACTTAGGACCCAGGAATCTGTTAACTTCTAAACAGCCAGAGGAGAAGCGGCCCAAAGAATGTGACTGGAAGTTTGTGACTGCTTCTTCTTACTCAGGGCATCTTTTGTCTAAAGCAGGTTTATAATAAGCCTATCCATGAAGAAAGGCAATTATAGGCATTGCACCTATATTTTATAATGCAAATTGGATAGAACACAATAGATTAATTAGAGAACATGGTATGGATTTGCATTATGCAGACAGCAATTGCTTATAATGTGATCGAGTTCAGGAACTAGCACTTTGGGAGCAGGAAAAAAAGACCTGTTGGCAGGATGCATAAACACACACCTTACCAGTGTCTGAGGCACTGGCTGCTCAGTTGGTCTACAGTTCATTTTCTTCCCTGAGGCAAAGATCCTGGGGGTCTGGAGGTGTGCTGAGCTGGGGAGAACACAGTTGGTGGGCGGGGCTCTATATTTATAGGTTATTGAAGAGAACTACACTGTGGGCTTAAATAAGCTCTTCTAGACACTCATAATTCTCTTTCAGGTGTTCAGAATTTTGAACTTAATTTCTATTATGTTGTATATAACTTGCAGGAATTCCAAGACTCCAGCATCCAGGGGCTTTGCAAATTGATCAAGAACCAAAACTTACACCTGTCCAGTGTCTCAGAGAGACAGCAGGGGTTAAGCAGGTGGTACTAACAAGTACATCAGCAAAAATTTCAACACAAGTTCTTCCCCTCTCTCAAATTTCCAACTTCCTTCACCAAGGAAATACAAGTGCAATTCCCACTAAGAATGATTCTTAAAAGTCTTTGTCCTTTTATAGTTCCTAGAGGGCACTATAAAAATTCTTAACTTTCTAAAAATAAATTGATATTTGTAGAGAAGGGAGTGGGCTCTCAAATCTCTTCAGAAATGTACGCAATTGTGCAGCATACAGTCATATACGGTCACCTTAAGGTATAGTGTGTCAAGTAAACAAGATTAATGACATATATTCATCTAACTGGCTAGCATTTCTATTACTAGTTCAGTGGTGGGCACCAAATTAATGCAAAACATAAACAGATCATAGTCTGATCTGTTCTTTCTTCTGAGAATTAGGAGACATATTTACTTATTCATTCATATGGTCCTACATTGGGGATGGAGATGTAGGAATGGTTGTGAGTGGCTGGGAAAGCCATCAGTGTGGATGAGCTCTAGAGTGCAGGTGACTGAGTACAGGGTCCTGGGCAACACTGGCATTTAAAGGCCAAATGGAGGAAGAGAAGCCTATGAATGAAATGCTAAAGGAGCAGCCAGACAGGTATAAGTAAAACTAGAGAATAATAATATTCCAAAAGTGAAAAGAAGAGGGAGTCCCATGAAGGGGATGATGAAACCTATTCAATACCACTAGGGTCGTGTGGTCTGTGTTTCTCTAAGAAGATTCTGAAGCACAGCCTGAACCAAGGGAGTTTACTTTGGGAAGTACTGCTATGGAAGGAGGAGAACCAACATGGGGGATACTGTCTAGCTGTCCCTCAGTGGGCAGCTGGAGCTAGACTTCTCTAAGGCTTCTGAGGAATTTTGAAGAATATGCCTCTGAATTGACTGCTTGAGGGTTGGCAATGGGAAGTATTTCCCCACCAGCTCCAGTTCTCCATTGCTCAAGATTTGCCCCGTGGGATGGAACTCCATGTTTCTCTAGATTCATGCATTGTTGTTCCCAAATGCTCTGTGAGAGTTAGAGAATCTCAGGACAGAAGATGATAGATCCATAGTGTAATTGAAGCAATGCTCTTCAGATGCTTTCAGTTTTTACCTGCCTGGAACTGATGGGCACAGCCGCATAAAGCCTTGGCACAGAAGATATGAAGCAGGGCACAAGAGGTGTTCAATGCAGAGGTGATATAAAAATTGAAATAATTTGGTAGAAAGTAGCAAACTAGTTTGAGCAATGCAGGAACATTTTTAGCTCCAATAACCTAGCAGTTTAAGACTTACCAGATTTAGATGTAGCTGGTTGCAGAGATTCAACTGATATCTTCAGATTCCTTAAATCTTCTCTCGGTTTAATTTCCTTTGTGTTGCCTTCATACTCAGAAAGATCTCTGCAGAGTAGAAAAATGGTGCCAGGAAGTTCTAGGTTATATAGTAGTTACAGGAAACAATTTCAGAAGACAAGTATCTTAGTCTGTTTTGTACTGCTATAATAGAATACCTGATACTGGATAATTTATAGCGAACACAAATTTATTAGTTCACAGTTCTGGAGGCTGGGAAGTTCAATATCAAGGTGCCAGCAACTAGTGGGGGCCTCTTGCTGTGTTATCACATGGTGGAAGTCAAGAGAACAAGAGGGAGGGAAAGAGGAGACTAAACTTACTCTTATATAATTGTAACCACTCCCACCCATGAGGGTGGAGCCTTCATGGCCTAATCACCTCTTAAAAGTCTCACCTCTAATACTGTTATAATGGCAGTTTTCAACTTGAGTTTTGGAGGAGACAAACATTCAAACCATAGCAATAAAGTCCACTCTCTCCTTCATTATGAATATCAATCCCTTTAAAATAACCGGTTAGTCCCATTGGGCTATATGCCCATTTAAGGTCTAGTTGCCATGCCCAGGGTGATGGGGTATTTTGATTAGCCAGCCCATGCTATGTGCCTTCACTGTGGCTTTCAACTAAGCAAGAATCCTTAATTGGCAGACCCAACAGAAGCACATGGACCCATGAAGGGATGGTTTCAAAGTAAAGAAGTTGGGGAGACTGTAGAGGAAGCAGAAAAAATATAACAGACATCCTGTATATAAAGAATGGAAGGGAGAGTGTTCAGGCGACTGCTAATATGGAGTTCCTAGTGACTTGAGTTCTAGTCCTATTTCTGCTACTTACCATTGAGAGACATTGAGTGACTTCCCTGAATCTCAGGTTCTGTATTAGTCTGTTCTCGCATTGCTATATGCCTGAGATTAGGTAATTTATTAAGAAAAGAGGTTTAATTGGCTCTCAGTCCCACAGGCTGTGTGAGAATCTTGGCTGGGGTGGCCTCAGGAAACTTTCAATCACTTCTGAAGGCAAAGGGGAAGCAGGGAGGTCTTACATGGTCAGAGCAGGAGCAAGAGACAGGGCGGGGAGATGTTACATACTTTTAAACAACCAGATTTCAAGATAACTCACTCTCACCATGACAACACCAAGGGGGATGGTGTTAATCCCTGAGAAACTGTCCCCATGATCCAATTACCTCCCACCAGGTCCACCTCCAACATTGGAAATTACAATTTGACATAAGATTTGGGTGGAGACACAGATAGAGCCAAACCATATCACCTTCTAATATAAAACGAAAGTGAGACCAATTAAATTATTTCTTTTTTAAAAAAGAAATTAAAATTTTATTGAAGAATTTTTAATATTAACTACATAAAATTATCCAAGTCCAGGTCTCAGACTTGCCACAATTAGCATTCTTGTAGATGTTATAGTCATTAGAAGGTCCTCGCATCTCTGAGACACATGCTGTGCTCATTGGTGAACTCGGCTTCAAAACTACCACAAACCCAGGCAATGTTGTCAGCCATAACTCTCCCTCAGCATCAGTTCACCTTATCCCATTTATGTTTCAAAAACAAGATAATATTATCCAGCATTCAGAACATTGACAAGGGATAATATCAGCATCATTTCACTTAAGACATTTAAGCAATTTAAGTAACCCAGAAATCAAACTCACTTTAAGTCTTTCAACATATGTCTATGTCCCTTGAATGCAAGAAGCATCCATGCATTATTTGCTGTTATTGCTCTTATGAATGCTCTCATCAAAGCCATGGGTTTGAGAGATACATACAGACACATTTTTTAAAATTGTCTTTTGCACCACCGAGTCTCTGCATGTACTCTCTGCTTTTTCTCACCCATACAGCATTGATGTCAGTACCATCATCAATCCCACCAAAGGTTTCAAATGTTCAAACACCTTCTGTTTCCATATCACAGCCTTGCATTTAGTGTTGATATGACTCTGTGAAATAACAAGTGATAGGTAAAAATGGAACACCCACTGTCAAAGATGCAGCAAATGCAGTTTGATGACATATTCTTTTTTTTTTTTTTGAGACGGAGTCTCGCTCTGTCGCCTAGGTCGGACTGCGGACTGCAGTGGCGCAATCTCGGCTCACTGCAAGCTCCGCTTCCTGGGTTCACGCCATTCTCCTGCCTCAGCCTCCCGAGTAGCTGGGACTACAGGCGCCCGCCACCAGGCCCGGCTAATTTTTTGTATTTTTAGTAGAGACGGGGTTTCACCTTGTTAGCCAGGATGGTCTCGATCTCCTGACCTCATGATCCACCCGCCTCGGCCTGATGACATATTCTTAAATGCGAAAGTATGTAGACATAAGGAATTCCATGGTAGAATATTTCCAACCCCCTGAAGTGCTGCTTCTATAGAATTTGAAATAAGATAAACTAGAGAGATTAAATGGAGACTTTATATTACACTATATGATATAAAGAGAGACAATGTTAAAAAATAAGCAAAAAAAAGCTGTATACCATTACTTCAAAGAAAGAATTTTCTAAGGAAAAAATCATATAGAAGTTAATCAAAACCAAGAAGAATGAATACAACCCTAATAGGTTCTATTTTAAACATAAAAATAATTTACTTGAACATTCAGAGATCAAACTGTGCTGGCAGAAACCTTTTGATATCAATTGTACTGTATTGGTTTGCCTCTCTGCAGACAATAGTTCACTTATAATCACTTAATATTTAACATTTTTGGAAACATAACATCATTATTCTTTTAATTCTCCTTATCTAAAAATAATGTCCAAAATGTTAATGAATATACTTCATATTGAACACACTAATTTTGAAAATGTTAGTGGAAAAGTGTTTTTATAATATCTTACTATTTGCTTAGAAAACCTTAAATTTTCACATGTCTGTTCCAGCCAGAGCCCTGGTCTCACTTCCTGGGCCAGAAGCATTGGAACCCATGTTCTGACTGATGTCTGCTATAAACTGTTGCTTGCTTTTATTATGATGCCATCTGGTCATCAGACTCAGAAGTGGGGAGTAGCCAAGGTGGGGAGGCATTAAAAAAGACAAAGAAAGAAATATAGCAGACACCAGAGCAGGAGAATAGCAGCCATACAGGTACCTCTCACCGTACAGTAACCCCCAAGGACTGCCTGTCCTTAATAAGAGAAAAGCACCTTCTGCTACCTTCCTCTGGTAAAGGGGTGCAATTTCACCAAGACAGGGAATTTGCATTCATTTCTCCTATGGATATATCATAGCCTAAGTCATTAACATTTCAAGGTTTTCCAGTTTTGGCAGAGAAGCATTGAGTTACCTTAAATCCATAAGCAGCCAAGGGCAATTCTTGATTCATCGGAATTCATTCACTCAATTTTTATTGTATGCGGATTTTGTGCAAGGCATATCCAAAAATCCTTCAGGGATACAAAGATGAGTAATTTGTGATTGCTACCTCAAGAAGTTTAGTATCTAGCTTGGGAGATGAAATATGTTCCAAATATGTAAGTGTTGAGTAAATGTTGAATAACACAGAACTATAAAACAGTAGAAAATAATTCCACAAAAGAAATATGCTTTAAAGTCATACAAAGCAAAACTTAATTCTTGCCATCAAGGAGAACAGTGAAGAATGGGCAGGGTTCCTTTGAACCAGTGGCATTTCATGCATTTGATTTCTTGAACATTTACTTGGTGAGGGCCAACCAGGCACCTTGCTCGGCATTTAAGCTGGACCTTGAGAAAGGCTATGAGTTTGAACCTACAGAAAATGAGACTTGGGGCTTTGGAGAATGGTAATTGGTGGCATGTTGGAGCTAGCTCTTAGTGGCTCATGAGAGCCAGTTGTTAAATGTCCAGGGATTTTGTGAGCAGGTTGACCTCTCCTTGGTTGAATTGTTCTTTAGGGAGTTTACCATGGAAATCATCAAATGCTACAATTCAGAATGCCCCTTCCACCCCACCCAGAGCCATTTCTTAATCTGTCCTGGATGTGTTCCAGGCAAAGAGAATAAACAACAATCCACTAATTAGTCATTTGATCTCCAGCAATCCCTTCACTAGTCCATAGCTTTTTCTCCTCTGTAAGGGAGTCTGATGCTGCGGAAGTTGACAGAATCAAAATACAGTCACTAATGTGGAGAAAACCTTGACAAATACAACCAGTCAAAGACATAAAGAGAGGCTTCTCAGGCTTGTATACCTGATAATGGAAACAATTACAAAAGACTCTACAAAAAACACAACTTTTGCACAAAGGGCATTGCAACTTATACAAATAACTCTATCTGTGAGGACATCTACCCAGCATTTGCCTGTCTAAACTTGGACTGGCATTACTGTTATTATTGATCTTTGTAGCAAAACATAATTATTTCAAAACAATTATGTAATCATCTTCAGTTTTCTTTTAGAGACCTTTGCATTTTTTTTATCTCCCTGAATATAAACATAGTTTACTGTGGTATGTGTTATTTTCATTGCAATGCTGTATTCCCAAATAAATTTCTTTTAGAGGGTCTCTCTCTGCTTGTTATTTAAGTAGACAATACTTAAGGTTTTCCTAACTCGAACATTTTATTATCTATAGAAGGGAAAGTGGAAAATCAAGTGAAACCCAATGATGAAAGGGTTAGGGAGGATCAGGGCACTTCTCCAGCCTGCCTGCTTAGTGCTGGGCAGGTGCTCCCAGAGAAGTGCTAATAAGCTTCGATCTCCAGGCTGTAATGAGGGGCTGCGGAGGCTCTCCATGGGAGTGCTGTTTTTCCTGTTATGAGGTCTTCTAAAGTGGCTGAATAGAGCCCAGAGAGGGAAAAATTTGAATCCCTCTCCTTGTTTCCCCCTTCTTTGGTCTCTGTGGGAACCCAGGGCAAGTCATTTAACCTCTCAGTGCCTGGTAGTCTTCACCTGCAAATTAGGCTCCCTCTCTTCACCTCTGGCCTCTGCTAAAATAATGTTTAAAGAATCTGCAGGCCAAGCTCAGGTCTCAGCAAGCAAAGTGTTGCTAATGTATAAAGCACTGTTGTCATTATTTGCCCAGGAGGGGAAGAAGGCCTTAAAGATTTAGCCAACACATGTAACAGCATCAAGTAGCCCAGTCTTAATTGTATCTGGATAGAGAGATGATGGATGCTATTTTGGTCCCACTGACATTTTCTACTAGTCCCTCCCAAGGGCCCTTGCCTGTCTCTCTTTTTGAACCATTATACCTAGATTCTTCTTGTTTTGTCCAGTGAACAAAAGCAGGAAAGTGTGTGATGGGGATGTGAGGAACTGTGGAGTGGAATGAGTTTCCTTCCCTCTTCACTAACATTCACTAGAGCTTTCATGAATGATGATGTTCTTGCTCCACCACTCATGGCTTCCATTCCTCCGTCAAGTTTCTGAGCGATACAAGTGAATTCCGATTCCTTGGAATGGCCTCAAATTCCTTCACCAAAGAAACCTGTCTGCTACAGATGAGTAGTCTGTGCATTCATGAAACTGGCAACTGTGACATTTGGAAAAGATTAGAGAGACAGTTAGTGTTTAGTCCAAATGTTAGCTCTGCCATTTGCTGAGTGATATGGGTCAGGTCATCTCCATCTTCCTGCACTTGAATTTTTTTTTTTTTTTTTTTTTTAATCAGTAAAGAGAGTCTATGTCAACCCTGGTTCGTGCTCCTTTTCCACAGGCATGTTTCTGACCTTCCCCTTCTCTGTTTCACCTTGTAGAGGTCCACCCCCGATCCCACAGGTGGGAAATTCCCAGGTGGTCTGGTCAGCTGCCTTCTAACTGGAATTGGCTTCCAGGAGGAGCCTGGGAGGAGACAGGAGCATGTGTGGAAAGGAGAAGCAAGGAGGCTCCTCTTCCTGTCCCTTTCTAAGGGGCTATCTCCAGAGTAGCTGAGCCTCCTCTGTGATTTAATTACCCTAGAAGATGTGACCCTGGCTCCCAGATCCTCTAAGCCCACTTCTCCCATTTTGTCCTCCGTTAAATTTCTGCTTTGGGTAATATTTGTGCTGGTTTCATTTCCTACTTTACACGTCCTTTGTTATAAATATTGGAAGCACTGTGTTTCCCTGGCTAGATCCTGATTGATACAGAGTTGATGATGTAGCTTTTGTAAGAGGATGTTGTGAGATTTAAAGAAAGTCCTACGCAATTTCTTACTAGTGTAAATGCTAAATAAATGTCCACCAAATCCTGTTATCAACTTGATTTTTTTTTTGCTTCCCAACATCACCATTGTTTTGCCCCTTGATATTCTAAAAATTCTGCAAAACTCAATGCAGATGTTACTTACTTCATGAAGCTTTGTTCATCCTTAACCAAATAAGATTTTTTAAAATTTTTCTCCCGTAGCAGTTTATATATGCATCTCTTGTAGAATTTGGCATATTCTGCCAAGAGTTTAATTATTTATAAATGTACCTTTTCCTGCTAATCTGTAAGGTTCTGGCTGTCCCTCTAATTTTTGTACCTTTCTCAAACTCACAGCACCAGAAAAGGTGTTTTAAAATATTCGCTGAACTGAATGGAACAGAAATACCCTACTTGGTACTTTTCTCTGCAACTTGATTCCTGTAGTCTGAGGGGTGTTATGGCAGACACCAAGAATGATTCTCCTAATCAGATGTTGGATGCATTCTTGATCTATTAAAAACATTAGTTTTTTGAAGAGTGCAACTGCCCCATACTTTCCTGGGTTTTCATTTTATATCAGGTGTTACCCATCAGGTATTACGTCTATGCTAAATTCACTAGATGCCTCATACTAAACACATTCATCTCAAGATTCAAGGAATGTAAAAAAAAAACTGTTTTTATAAGTGAATAGAAAATCAGATGTTCGGTTTGTGTTATGTGAGCCTCATGAGCATATATATGAAATCATATATCTAGTGTCTAGAATTGTGCCCATCATATTCTAGGTGCTCAACAAATATTTATTAAATGCCTGAATAAATGTGTATTTTGGATGAAGCCTTTACAGAATATTATATGTTAGTCATTATCCTTCAGAAATCATTCTCTGTGAATTCCAAGTTAATTTTTTCTCTTTTTTTGTAATCTTCTTTATTATTTATTTTTAATTTGAGAGGAAACTCACCCTCAGGCTATCTCTTCTATTTTTCTTCGCTGTTCAAATATGTTACCCATTATTTGGCCTTGAAAAAGCTTCCTCAAAATGTGATGTGGTTCTGCTTGTTCTTGAGGCTTAATAGTAGGAAAAAGGCTAATGGAAGACACCTGTGCACTGGAATGAAGACAATTCCTTGTCTTTTTCTCCCTGCTCCCTTACCTCCAGCACCCTCCTACAAACTAACCTGAAGTTTGTCTGGTCTGGGTGGAGGGAGCTGAGGGTGACTGATTAGAGAACATCATAAATGAAAGAGATTCTAGAGTTTAGTAAAAAAAAAAAAAAAAAAAAAAATCCCTTAATAGCAGATTAGTAGACTGAGACCAAGGGTGAATGGAGCCCCCCAAACTCACAGAAGTTAACGTATGTCTTAGTCAGCTTGGACTACTGTAACAAAATACCACAGACTGGGTGGCTTAAACAACAGACATTTACTTCTCACAGTTCTGGAAGCTGGGAAGTCCAAGATCAAGGCTCAGGCAGATTTGGTTCTTGGCAAGGGCCCACTTCTTGGTCTGCAGACAGCTGTCTTCTCATGGCATATTTGCATGGCCCTCCTCGTTGCATGTGCAAGGAGGAAGACAGGGAGAGAAAGAGAGAGAGGATTATCTTTTCATTTTCTTATAAAATCATTAATTCCATCATGGGGGCCCCACCCAAAGGCCTCACCTCTTAATACCATCACATTGGGGGTTAGTGCTTCCACAGATGAATTTGAAGGGACGTAAACATTCAGCCCCTAATAACAGAAGAGCCATAATTTTAGGTTTCCTGATTCCCAGTAAAATAGCAAACAGTGGCTATAATTCAATATCACCCCTGGCCAAATATGACCTTCAGGAATTGCCTTTCTAAGCTATCTTGCTCTAGCCCCAGCACACCAGCTAATTAAATACACAGATTCTTTGTTACTGTCTAGATATAGGGGCCACTGTAGTTTTTCTTACTCTGACTCTTCCAGCTTTTAAAATGTCTTGTTCTCATAGAGAAAATTTACCCTAAAAATAAAGGGTTCTCTTAACTTACAAAGTATTTTCTTCTAACCTCTCCAAGCTTTAGAAGATTGAGTTAAATTTCCCTGGAGATGCAGGCCAGGCTTCTGTCAGCTGGTTTCATCTTCCCTAGGGTCTCTGAGCCAAGGTTCCTTCCATGGACTGTTCCTTTCCATTGAGCATTCTTGCCAAGATTTATGATATAGTAAAGTGAAAAAGAGCCACGTCAACTGTCCTGTGAAGGAAAATGAGATTCTGCTCAATTTAAGGGGAGTTTAAATGAATAAAAAAGATCAGCATGTTAAATACTATGAAGTAGGATAATAGATTAATTTTAGAAAATTCAGGAGTCATCCTAATTACAGGTATAACTGAGTAGAAAGCTGGATAAGTCCCACATAGTTCTTTCATAGGCCATGACATAATTAAATGACTGTTCATTTTATAGATAAGATATATCTTTGACGTAGACATTGTATATTGGGAAATCATCCACTCTGGGCCCTTAACCTGATGTAGACTCATTCTTAGCTAGAAAGAGCCAAGAATATTCAGGCAGGCATGAATTCTCTGAGAAAAACCATGAGCTTTGGAAACGAAAATTGTTTCTCCACTTAAAAATAACAGTTCATGGATGCTGATGTGTACAAGCAACCAGTAGCTCCTCTGGAAGGACTTCACCACCCCAACCCTGGTACAGGGTGGTGAAGTCAAGCAACGGATTGGGAGGGTTTAGCCCCACCCTTATAATAGGCATCTTTTCAACCCTAAACCCACTTCTGTGATATGGCTGATTGTTGACACTTTCTCAGTTTTATGGACTATTCCCCTAGTGCTTCCCTTCATTCCATATTGTCAAGCCCTTGAGGAAATCCTGGTGCCATTATAGAAGGTCTTTATACAATTTAAATCAGTGCATATGACATAAAGCACTACACATTGTGTATTGTATACTCTCAGCTGAATGGCTTCTCTTAGATGTCCCACGGACCTCTCTCAATCTTCCCTTTTCTTGGCTCACTCTGCCCCATCACTCAGCTCCATACAATATATCATCATTGACCCCTCTTTCCTTGACTTCCACATCCAACCTGTTATCAAATCCTGTGTATTCTCTCTTGGCACTGTTTCTCATAAGCCTTCTCCATCCTGATTTCTATCAGTGCCACCTTAGTATTTATCCACTACTTTTTAAAGTGTGTTTTTCTCTCCTCCAGCATTTCCTTCCCATTCTATCCCACAAATTTTTTCCGAATTATTCTTTCTGAATGATTCAACCAACATTCCCTAAACCTGTATTATATCCCCAGGGCTAAATGATCAAAGATGAAAAAATAATGTGCCTTTACTTCAAGGAACTCAGGCTAGCATAAGACAGAGACACACACACAGACAGTGGAGGGTAGGGGTGAAGCATGGAGGCTCAATTCCAATGCTGGCTCTGACTTTTCCCAGCCATGTGACCCTGTGTAATTTAAGTGTGCCATGCCTGCAAAATAGGGAAAATAGTTTCTATCTTATAGGTTTACAGGAAGGATGGAATGAGATAATCCATGGAAAGCATTTATAATAGTTCTTCACACATAATACATAATAAACACTAGTTCTTATCATAAAGCAGTGCTCCTCAAACTCTCTGTGGTAAAGGACCATTTTGTAGTTGGTTTTCTTATTGAATGTCTAATGCATCATGAACTGATTTATGGCCCTACTATGCTTGACTTGTATGCAGCTCACACAACATGTAACTCAATGCTTGAGTTTGACAACAACCAAACACCTCCACACCCTGTTTAATGAGACAGGTTCATTGCTCACTCACTTGGATGTCAGGGCAGTCACATTGTGAACCTATAACACACAGTTCATTGGTCAGACCAAGCCCTGAACCACAGGGATTCAGGAACACAAGAATAAAATACAGCTGTGGTTGTTTTCACTTTCTTGCTCATGAGTGTCTCCGCATGAGCCATGCAAAGTACTTAATGTGATATTTTGGAGTCTTCACACTTAGGCCACATCCCAATCCCATCTTTCAAGCCTATGTCTCATGATTCCTCTTTGCAAACTTGAGGCTCTAGAACAGTACTTTCAAACAGCTTCAGGAATAGGGATAGGGTGGAGGATAATTTACCCTCTTACATTTTTTTAAGAAAACTCCTGATTATCTGACATCATCTTTCTGATGATGCTTGCTGATTATTATTTGTCTTTCCTCAGGAAACTAGTCTGCCTACATCCCTGATGCCTAGAGCAGTACCTGGCATATAACAAGTGTTCAATAATATCTATTGAATGAATAAGTGAGTAATAAAAAGATTGTGCTGTTAAACACATTTAAAATTTAATCTACTTGGCACATTATTCACATTAAAATCTGGAATATCTTGCTTTTAACACAAAGCATTTTTTCCATCTCTTCTTGCCCAGAGTGATTTTTTTCCCCATCCATTTTTCCTTTTATTAAATTTTTGGTTACTGTTAATCCACTAAAACTCAATTGAATAATTTCCTCCAACACAGCCTCCAAGAAGCCTTCTCCTGACTTTTCATTATACTGTATGTTATCTCTATTACAGCACTTCTAACATGCTTTATTATTTATGTTGTATGCCCTTTTGTAAATTATAAGGTCACAGAGAACAAGAGCCTGGCATAATTCATATTTGCATTTTTAAAAGTGTTTAACACAGTGTCTAATAGGTAATAAGAACCTTGTGCTGAATTATGTGGCGTATATCTGAATTTCCCAAGATCTATTTATGTCTCAAGAACCAGTTCAAGTTCTTCCTTCCTAGAGTTTTCCTGAATATTTTCACCTGCAGCAATATATCTGTTCTTTATCCTTACAGCCTTATTGATATTTAGCTTTTAATTAGCATTTTAAAATTTCATTCATGTTTTTATTTCCCTAACAAATGTTTATGGCTTTGCTATTATGTTCAGGGAATTGTTATAGGTACCAGCGCAGGTAATGAAGAATAAGAAAACCCTTGCCTTCAATAATGATGCAATAGAATTTTCACTATGTAATTCCAAGTATTGGTGTGTGGGTTATTGTTGTTTTCCTTACCCTAAACACACACACACACACACACACACACACACACACACACACACACACACATTCTGGGATCTTGAGGGCAGATCTTGTGAACCTTCTGCAAAAAGTAGCTTAGTGCGCCTATAAAACCTAGCAAATACTCAATACAAACGGGATTAATTAGTGTTCCACACACATATACTGGTATATTCACATGTCACAAGCTTATTATCTCTTATTAGTAGGTAATTATCTGTCTTTTGCAGTGAAATGTGATAACCATGTGACACCGATACTATGGACCCTTAATGCAGGTAAGGTCTGACAGTTTTGATATCTTCACCTGTGGAGAAAGCCTGTAATAACCCATGCTCCACAGACCACTGAAATCTGGTGCCTCAAGAAATAATTAGATGCAAATAGAATGTGATAGGAAACATTTACCAGTCAGGTAGAGTAAAAACTTTGTTAATTTGAAATGCAAGAGACCAGAAAAATGAGCTCTGAATTAATTGGGTTTGGATTATCTGATATTTTTATTAAGGCCATTTAGTCATTTAGGCAATAACAGCTGCTGTTTGAATTTTTTTAGTGTTAGCCCTCTGAGGTTTTACTGTCAAGGTATGATTTCTTATGGCAGTAGTGTAACTATTAACCTTTGTAGCTGGACATAGATATCTAACAATCTGCCCAGGTTTATCACCAGCATACCCATGTTTCTGTCTATCAGTGCTGTTTGATTTCATTCGTATTTTTACTAACTACCAGTATCAGTGACTCTCTCCAACTTAATTCTCTCCTCTTTGGATAGCATAGAGAATCGATGGGAATCTTTGAAGCAACCAGAGGAAAAGGCCATCTGATTTTCTGCTGCTTATATTTCAAGTCATCTGAGTATTTAATTGCATGGCTGATCCATTGCTTTATTTGCATGATAAATATTGTAGAAGCATAACCATTAGAAAGTGTGAAGGAACAATAAGTCCCTGACAAGGTAGAAAGTTCTTTTAGGACCATTCTAAATCATGTTCGAAAGGTGATATTCATAATACAAAAACCAAGTTTATGTGTGGTGTTCTCTAAGTAGACAGAACACAAAATCCATTAGAATATATTCATGAGTCATCTTAAATTTGAAAACTTTGCTTTGATGATTCTGTTAGGCAAGGAGAAGTGACAGCTTACTGGCAGAATTTAAGGTTTTCTTATTCTGCTTAGCTAAATCGATCAGCAGCCTACAGTTTAGTAAGGAAGACAAGGTAACTACACGTAAAAGGTAACAACATAAAAATAGCCCAGAGCAACATACTGCAAGTATCAAGTTAACAATAGAGACAATTCTTGTAAGAATTTAGGTAGAGATTCTGATTACATGTGAGGACAGTACTGACTTCCCAAAATTCAAATAATGCTTAACATACAATGGGTACCAAATACATTCCTACTGAACAACTGATCAGCTTTCCTAATGTGGCAAGACTGATTTCATTATTAATGGCAGATTTCTAATTTATTTATTTATACATATCTACTTGTAATACAGGTAACATGCACCCATTCTACATTTATTTAAGATACTAACCAGCCTCATAGTGTTTCAAAGCTGGAAGGGATTCTCTGATGCAGTGTTGCGGTTGTACAACAGTAGAGATGGGTTGCCTGGTCTGTGTCCCAGAGGCAGGGTTTGGGGTAGAGGGACTGGTCTACCAAATCATAGTCTGGCTTCCCCAGATGAAACTCCTGGGGTCAGTTTTATCTTTCTCCATGGTCACTGCCCCAAGTCCATTCATTCAACTTTACGGAAGAGTGCTATATGCACATATTCTAACTAGAGTTGAACATAAAGTGTACCCCTTTTTAAATTTTCTTTCTCAAATTTTTAAAATCTCTTTTTATCATTTTTTTCTTCTCTTTTTTCCCCCTATCATGGAAATTCTTCTATTTATGGAATAGATGAACATGGACACTCAGGGTAATTTGTATTAGCCCTGTGTTAAATGAATGGATATAGTTTTCATGATCCTTTAGACTCACATAAGCACTGATTACTGAAAATACATTTTTGGCTCACAAGGAGGGCTGATTTTACAGGCTTCCCCTCAAAGTGGGCTGACTTCAGACTAATGACCTTGAGATGAAGGCCTCCGTAACTCAAACCCACTGAGCCATCCAATACCTGGTCCTTTTTAATAGGTACGAATTATATGATTTATGGGATATAGAGAGATCATCCAACTGACCTGGCTCCATCCCTTGAGTGAGCTAGAGCTTGCTTTCTCTTTGAGAATTCCTAATCAGTTCAAAGTTTCCTTTTAAAATGTTACATGGCACTGATAAAAGTTTTGGAGTTGAATAAACTTTAGCTACCTGCAGACAAATGCAGACTTCTGACATCATCGCTGTTAGGGGCATGGCTGACTTGAACAGCCTATCTGGGTCTTGACTCCAAATAGCTTTCCAAAAGCCGTATTTTGAAGAGCTTGGTGTAATATGCTTAGAGTGCAATAAAAGAATGTTCTCTTAACAAGGTCTTAAAATTCCAGGGAAAAGTGCTTGACTAAGTGTATTGGAGATTTCCTTGAACTGAAAGCTTCAGAAAATGGGCTTGAACTATAATTGCCACAAGTAGTAGAAGATTGTGAAATGAGAATAAAAACTGAGAAGGTAATTCTGGGATAAGAGAAAGGCAGGGTAAAATTCCAAGATGGAATTTCAATGTACTTACCATTTATGTGGTGCTAGCTGTGTGTTGTCACCATAAAGCCTCTAGAGATACTAACCACCTAATCTTTAACTCTATATGGTGGGTTATAACATTAGATTTTTTTTACAAATGGAAAAATCGAGGGATTATCTAACCTGCCCAGGCTTACTCAACAGGTAAGTGGCAAAGGTGGGTTTGAACCCACGAAGGTGGGCTGCAAAGTCAATAAAATCCAACACTAGGTGCTGCTCCCTGTTCTCAGTGAACCAAGTTATAAAGCCAGAACTAGTGACCAAGTTGAAAGAAAAAGTGTTTGGTGACCAGTTAGAGGATAGTTCAGAACTGCGTTACTGGACATGTCAGCAGGGGAAGGATGAAACAGGCAGTGGAGGAGGGAGCTGCGTAACTTGAAAGGATAGGAAAGCAGTAAGCTTGGCAGCCAGACAAGCAATCTAAGAGTGCAAATGCAGGAACTAAAGCCAGAAAGCACCCATACAGAAGCGGTTCAAAGACCCAGTGTCCCTGCAAACAGTCCAGGGTTTGCTGGGAGTTGGATAGCAGGCTTGACTACTCTATGGCGGGGATATTTTTATTCTAAGAACAAATATCCTCACTACCGTGAAAGCACCTGGCTACTTCCTGCTGATGTAGAATAGAATCACAAGACAGAGGCAGCTCACATCCCAGAGAACAGAGTAGATAATTGGGTGCTGAGTGGGAAGAAGGAGGGGATTGTAAGATCCTGGCAATTAATTTAGAGACTCAGGACAATGACATGATCCTCGTGACTTCTCTGTGGCTTTCCCAATGTATATTTCAAATCAATCTCTTGCACTTGCTCTCACTCTCACTCTCTGTCTCAGTCTAGGGAAGTCACCCTACAGATGGAATATGGATTTCTGGGGACCTTTTTTTTTCAGAATGAAAGGCCTCTGAATTTGTGATGCTCTGATTCTCAGGATTTCCTCTCCTCCTGAGACTATTCTGTTCAACATGTCAAGTGCTTCTATCATCTACTGATTTAAAGAAGGCAGGGTGGCCGACTGTCCGTCGGGAATTCCTGCTGCCCATGGGTTATTATTCTGATGTTCCTATACCCTATGCAGACTTTCCACACTTTCAGACTCTGGTTCTGCCAGGCCTGTCAGCTACTGGGAATTTTTGTATCTGACCAAGCAAATCTTTGACTTCTCTCCTTACCTTTGGGCTGCTCACCTGCTTTGCCCAGAACAGTGAGGTGTAGAAATGGCTGAAAAGAGAGGCTGGTCTTGCCTGATGTTATTGGCATCTCTTAGTCATGGTCTTGCTCAGAGAGGAGAAGCTGCTATCAATAGGCACTAAGCAACATTTCTTTCCTTTGGATTCCTTTAGTCATGCTACATGGTGTCTAGACACACCACATGACTTGTGGGTAGAGCCACCAGTGTGGATTCAGGTGTATGACAGTCAGCTACTGACAATGAGCTCTCTAACTATCAGAAAACGAAGCACTTGTTTTCAATCGCTGCTTGATTATTCTCATTTTGTGTGGGTTTTACCCTATTGCCGTGCAGCAAATGTAGCCAAGCTGATTTCATTTCCAGAGTATTGACCTGGTAAGTAAAATTCCTGAGTGATCATGGTACACAACTGTGTGAAGTACAGGATAAAAATCTTGCAGTGACTTGGTGTTCTCTTCTGTAAAATGGGATTAGTTCATGATAAGCAGGAATTGTATATGCATTAGATTGTGCTTAAACTGTGTTGCTACGTAGATTTGAGACTCAGCTGAAAATTAGAGAACATTTATTTCCCAGACAATTCATGTTACTGGAAATCTCCTAGAGTCAAGACCCGAAGAAATATTCACAAGGCTTTCCATATGTTAAGCTTGGCAGGATTATAAAATAAAAAGCATGCTTGAAAAATCGTTTAGATGGTTGATGTGAATATGCAGCCTGAGATCCAGCAGATTTTCAGGAAAATGTGGTGCAAGTACTTTGAATGATGCAATTTTGCACTTCAGCTACTTCTAGCCTCCTTCAGAATTTGACACCATCTACAGCATGAAAAAAAATGGGTCTGTATTCAAAAATATGCCAACCACATAAAAATGTGGGGTACTTAAATTGGACAAACTTGTACTTTTCAAAAAATTGGGCTAACAAGCTTCAAAGAAGGAAGAAAGTGTTAGGAGTGACAGCTCAGAAAATGAGACCAATTGGATGAAGATATATTTTGTACACATACACACAAACTTCAACATGTTTGTGTTCAACGTGTTTTTCCTTTTTCTCTCCCGTTGTATCTCCTTTTAAAAAATGAACTGCTACCTAGGCTGGACTTGGTGGTTCACTCCTGTAATCCCAGCACTTTGGGAGGCCAAGGTGGGAGAATCGCTTAATGAGAGGAGCTTGAGACCAATCTGGGCAACACAGTGAGACCCCATTTCTACTATAAAAGAGAGTTTGCCAGGTATGGTGATGAGCTTGTAGTCCCACCTACTCATGAGGCTGAGGTGAGAGGATAGCTTGAGCCCAGGAATTTTAGGTTATAGTGAGCTATGATTGCACCACTGCATTCCAGCCTGGGTGACAGAGCAAGTCCCTGTCTCAAATAAATAGATAAATAAGTGCTATCTAAATGTATCTGACTCAAGATGACCCTAACTTCAAAAGCATACAACAACTGAAGCTATTTGAAAATAACCCCACTGAAGCAGGCTACTAACATTAGTTAAAACTCGAGATTAAAGGGAGTGCTTGCCCCCTATACCACGGGTTTTCAAAGAGAGGTCTCTGGACCAACTGCAGGAGCATCATCTGGCTCTACTCTAGACCTACAGACTCAGAAACCCTGAAGGTGGGCCTGGCAAGCTGTGCCTCTCAGATTCTCCAGGGAAGTCTGAAGTGCCTCACCTCAGGTTTGAGAACAAATTAACCTTAGCTGCATGTTGTAATCACCAGTGAGGTTTGTTGATTGATTTTTTTTTTTAATATGCAGAGTTTCTACCTCCAGACACTCTGAAGTAATTGATCATGAGTGCAGCCTCTAGAGATTTTACAAAACTCCCCAAGGGAGCTTTGTAAGATTTACCAGTCATAACTGCTAAAAGTTTGAGGAACTTTTCAAACTGTATTGAACATGAAACTCACCTGGCGATTCTGCTAAAATAAAGATGCAATTTCTCAGGGCTGGGACAGGGTCCAGATCCTGCATGTCTAATAAGCTTCCCAGTGATGCTGACTTTGCTGGTGGGAGGACCACAGTCTGAATCCCAGGCCCAAAGTGATACTGATCATTGCTCCCCAACACCTCGTGGAGGCTCATGGCCAGCCAAGGTCCACCCCTTGCTGCATTTAACAACTGACTCCATTGAATTGGAAACTGTAGAGCATCAGAGGTGTTAGTTTCCTAACAATCCAACCTGTTTACAACACATGTAACATACTATAATTTAGTTAATTATTTTTTACTTTCTAAATTTATTTTCTACATTTTAGTTAAATATTTTAAAGGCCAATAAAACACTAACTGTGAAAAGAAAGATTTTTCTTCCCCTATGTTACTCTTAAAAATCAATTAAAAACTTTCAAGTCTCAATAGAAGCAAACTGTACTAGGGAGGGAGAAAAAAGCTGTCCAATTAAGTCGACATAAAGTAATATTTTATGACACTCAGTGTGACAAAAATCTAGGTAGATTCTACATTGAGAATGCTTTGTCAGTGATTTTAAAATTGTTTGGTTAAAGAAATGGGAAGTGAAATATCAAGGGTGTGGTTCATACAAAGCAGGTGATTTGAAATTCCAGTCAGAAGACCCACCCTAAACATTTCTGATCATATATCAAAAGTTTTGCAAATAGATCAAAACTTATGTTTCATTTAAAATATTTTATACTTGTATGTATTATTTTAATTACTTCCTGCTTTAATGGATTTTATTGGTTCACTACTAGTCTTGATTGTGCCAGGTAAAGAGGCTCTACTGTAATTTTGTTTTATAAGAATATTGCTAATCACTATCGTGCATAGCACAGTAGCTGCGTATCAGGAACCATGAAAGTGTTTAGCATTTATTTTAGCTAATCCTCATGAGAGTCCAGGGAATAACATTAATATTCTCATTTTAAAGCTGAAGAATGCAGTGGAGTTTTTTCTGTTCTCACAATTTACTAACATCCCAAAATCCAGCACAGACTGCGAAATATAAGATTCCTCATAGTCTAATAAATTTGCTTAAAACAAAATTAGAAACATTCAAAGCACAGTGAATAATGTGTGCATACTTATTACTTGACATGAGAAAGCAAATCTACTTATAGATAATACATTGTTGTGTTCTGAGCCAACAAAGGGCCTGGGTGGTTACAGAAGGTGAAAGGCAAAAGGTAATAACCCTTCACAATCTAGATTTCAAGTTTCATCCCCACCTCCAGTGTGTACACACACACACACACACACACACACACACACACACACACACACGGTGGCCCAGTAGCTTCTCAATCTTCCTCATGTGCCTACATCTTCATGACTTTCCTCATGCCATCTCCTTTCCCTGATGTGAAAGGAAAATATCTTGGGCCCTCGAAATCACTAAGCTAAAGGGAAATGTCAAGCTGGGAACCGCTTAGGGCAAACCTGCTTCATATTCTATTCAAAATTACCCCTCTGCTCATTGAGATAAATGCATATCCGATTGCCTCCTTTGGAGAGGCTAATCAGAAACTCAAAAGAATGCAACCATTTGTCTCTTATGGACCTAGGACCTGGAAGCCCCCTCCCGTGAGTCCTCTGGCTTTTGCTTTGAGTTGTCCTGACTTTCTGGACTGAACCAGTGTTCATCTTACGTATGTCCATTGAGGTCTCATGTCTCCCTAAAATGTATAAAACCAAGCTGTGCTCTGACCACGTTGAGCACGTGTCATCAGGACCTCCTGATGCCGTGTCAGGGGCGCACATCCGCAACCTTGGCAAAATAAACTTTCTAAATTAACTGAGATATCTCTCAAATTTTCAAGGTTCACACTGGCATATGCTTTCGCCTCTTTTTTCACTCAGGAAACTTCGATTTACCCCTTAAGATTAAGTCGTTCCTCCCCTCAGAACACTTAACCAAGTGACTGTCTGTCTCTTGTGACAGTCTCAAGTGACAGTATGTGGAGAAAACAACTAGTTAGTAGAAGCTCTGGGTGACAAAGGTGGATTTGGCAGAAGTAGTTCATTCAACAAGCACCTGTTAGGCACCTGCTCTGTGACCACCATGGGTGTGGAAGCCACAATGCTTGCTTTACAGAACCTCCATGCTGGTATCGCCAGGTGTCCTGTTTCTGCGTTGTTCCCATGTTTTACTTCCTCACTGTTTTGCCTGCACTTCCTGGGTTTTCTATACTTAGCTCCGGGCTTCAGTTTTAGGTAACGCACTGACTTTTGAGTCCCTCAGGTTCTCTGTGCAACTTCCCAAGAGCAGCCTGATCATCCAGTCTGTCATTTAGGAAATATGATTCTATACTCAACACATTGTTTCATTATATGAGTCTTACAGTCTCCTGATTTTTGTCTCTTCTCAGCCCTAAATTATTCCAGAGACTAGCATCTCTCCTTTGTTGCCCCTTAAACAGTTTATCATGCATCTTTGGGATTGTCCAAGTTCTATATGCAACTTCTCTTTATTGTGCACACTTTCAGACCAAATACTGTCTTATTTATCTTCACTTTCACATTTTGCTTTTCTATTATTTATTAATGTTAAATACACATAATATAAAATTCACCATTTAAACCATTTTTAAGTGTACGGTTCAGTGGCATTAAGTACACTCACACTGTTTTGCAACCATTACCACCATCCATCTCCAGAACCTTTTTATCATTTCTATGAAATTCTGTATCCATTAAATAGTAACTCCCCATTACCCCGCTCCTTGATCCTTGGTAACATTTATTCTACTGTCTCTATGAATCTGCATATTCTAGGTACTTCGAATGAAATCATATTTTTTTTCCTTTTTTTTTTTTTAACGGATGGATTCTAGCTCTGTCGCCCAGACTGGAGCACAGTGGCGCCATGTCAACTCACTGCAAGCTCTGCCTTCTGGCTTCTCCTCCCTCAGCCTCCCAAGTAGCTGGGACTACAGGCGTCTGCCACCATGCCCAGCTAATTTTTTTTTTTGTATTTTTTTGTATTTTTTGTATTTTTTTTTGTATTTTTTTGTATTTTTTTGTATTTTTAACATGGAGTTTCACCATGTTAGCCAGGATGGTCTCAATCTCCTGACCTCATGATCCACCTGCCTCAGCCTCCCAAAGTGCTGGGATTACAGGCTTGAGCCACCGCGCCCGGCCAATTATGTGTGGTTTATTTCAGGTAGCATAATGTTTTCAAGTTACATCCATGTTGTAGCATGTATCAGCATTTCACTCCTTATTAAGGTGGAATAATATTTCATTGTATATAGACCACATTTTGTTTATCCATTCAGTTGTTGGACATCGGGGTTGTTTCCACCTTTTGATGATTGTGAATACTGTTTCTCTGAACATGGATGTGCAAATATTTTTTCAAATCCCTGCTTTTAATTCTTTTGGGTCACATTTTGTGTTCAGACTAGGTCCTAGTACAATGGTTATTTCAGTGATGTAGAAAAATGAAGGACTGGCTTATTGAATAAATGGTAAAGAAACCTTTTTAAAGCACCATATAATTTATATTTTTTCAAATTTCCATTGTTTCCCACATTTCTTTTTTGCCCTTTTCTAACCTCAAACCACCAACAAAAAGGATACACAATGTTGAAAATTTACATTTTCTGTAAATATAAATGTCATAATTTTCCATTCTAAATTTTTTCAGAAATGTATAATTTCTAATTAAAAGAAGGTGGGACATTCCTGGGATCTTCAGGAAGATGATTGCTCAGAGTGACTCAAGATAAGGAGAGGAGCCAGAGAATGTATGGAAGCTGCATCCCAACCAGAGATCCAGATTTCAGGAAGCCAAGAGTTGCTAGGTTCCACTTGCCTAGGGCCACAACAATGAAGCCAAGAACATAGAGAGCCAGGCATTTGTGATAACATGGTTTTGAGCAAGAGCCAGCCATGAGGGAGGGCAAGAGAGTCCAAATAAACTGCAGTAAAAGGTACCATGTAAGCTGGGCACAGTGGCGCATGCCTGGAATCCCAGCACTTTGGGAGGCTGAGACGGGTGGATCACACGAGGTGAGGAGTTCAAGACCAGCTTGGCCAACATTGTGAAACCCCATCTCTACTAAAAATACAAAAATTAGCCGGGCGTGATGGCACATGCCTATAATTCCAGCTACTCAGGACGCAGAGACAGGAGAATTTCTTGAACCTGGAAAGGTCTCATCACTGTACTCCAGCCTGGGAGACGGTGCAAGACTCTGTCTCAAAAAAAAAAAAAAAAAAAAAAAGGTGCCGTGTAGTTGGGTGCTGTGGCTAACCAAGTGCAAGCCTTGTGGTGGTCTATGGAGTCCATATGCAGGATCCTTTCCTGCCACCGTTGTACAATCTGGCCATCTAAGAAAAAAGGCTGAGAAGGTAGAGCAAGTCTATTGAGGTGTCTTAAAGCCGTGGCACTTTAGCAGGGCTCTTCCTGTCCTCCCTCTTCCCAAGGGACATTTGGGAATGCAGTTGCTATAATGGGGTTGGGTTGGGGATTGCCACTAGCATAGTAGGTAGAGGCTACAGATGCTAAATATTTTTGAATGCACATAACAGCCCCCTGAATCTAAAAACTATCTAGCTCAAAATGTGAATAGTCCTGGGGTTGAGAAACCTTTTCTAGAACAAGATCCTCACTTTACAGAAGAAAGATGAAGTGACTTATCCAAGACCCCACTGCCAGTCAGAACTACAGCTGGCATACCTTGACCCCAAGCCAGGTGCTTTCGTCGCTAGTATTTCCAGTGTGGGTTTTGAAGCTTGGTTATTTCCAAAGTACTTGTATGAACTTGAATAGAATGAGCTACTTTAAAAAAAAAAAGAAAGAAAGAAACTCAGCGTATAGCATTTTCTCTGCTGAATGTACAAACTATGCAACCCAATAATTGCTTTCTCTTCTACTTTCATAGGAAATTTTCTCAGAAATAATATGTTGATATTTGCCAAGTGCTTTGAGCTCTTTTTAAGAGAGGTGCTAAAAACTTCTCTAAATTATTTTTATCACCTCTATAAAATTTAAAAGCAAAGTATCATTCCTTGTCAAAAGCAGACTTTACCTTGATTTTCTTCCATTATAACCTCTGATTAGCTATTGAAACTCTCTGATTACAGGCTGACATTGTACAATCTGAGGTATCATACTAGTTAAATCTGTGAAATAATTTATTGTAGCCTGACAAGACTATGAACTATTCTTATAGCTTGGAACAGAGCTTCAAAATCACGTAAAAGATTTGCTGCTAAAACTCTCCTTGTTTCAAATATGAGGTCAATGCTAAGGCTTTGTATATTGATTAATACTGTCAATTTGATTTATTAACTTCCTAATTACTAGGACAGATTTCTAAGAGTTCAGCACTCTTCATGAGAAACTATCACACTAGAAGGAACCTTGAGAAGTCTTCATCATTTCTATGCATGCTTTCAAGAAGGACCACAACCTGATGAAGTCCAATTTCTCCTGCCATCACTCCCCTATGAACATCCTTTCACTTTTCTTGGATGATCCAATTTAATCCACTTTTTAAGTGCCCTCCATCATGACAGTCCATCATCCTCTCTAAATAGAGGAAGGGAGGAGCAAAATAAAGAACTGAGCCATCTTGGAAGTTAGTAACAATGGACCACAGGTGACCTATGTCCTAACCCCCGGCCCAAAGGAGACTATATTACTAATAGGGTTCAATTACAAGGCATCTGCATGCTCAGGCAAGTTGATTTTAGAGGGTCTCTGAGGAAAAATGGTCAATAAGGCCATCTTACCTCTGTCAACTGTGAAGTGCACAGATCATTACCAGAGAGGAATTGCTTCTCCTTCTGAAGGCCCCTTGGGCCCACTTAGCCAAGTTTGCACCTCAGTGTGCTCCTGCTGCAGCTGCAGCTTTCCCAGGCATTAGGCCAGCAGGAGCAGCAGCCACCAGGTTATAAGGTTAGCACCCAGGGAATCTTTTTTCTTTTTTTGAAATTGCATTTACACAGTAAGCTTGGGGTTTTATTTAGATTGTGTGCTTGTCAAGGAATTGTTTGGGAAGGCCAGTGGTGATTATAGAGGGGCTAAGCTCTCCCAAACCACTTTTTGATTCAGCTACTATTTGAACTTGCAATTGAGATCTGCTAAAATATGAGTGAGAGCAGATTGTGGACATTAGGGTTGGAGCACTGTGGTATTAGAAGCTATTCTCATTGCAAGTTGTTATAAACCATAAATAATTAATCCAGGGCTATATTTATTATAATTCTCTGAGTGTCTGAGCTCTAAGCTTTCTGTTGGCCTTTTTTTCTTCTTCCCACTTCCTCAACTTGGACATTCCTTATGATCCTGGCTGTTACCCTCTGCCGCATTCTTTTTACATTCACCCTTAGAGATGTCGTTCATTAGCTACAACATCTCAGATCAGGTGACCCCAAATCTATATCCCTCAGCCTGCCTACTTGCACAGCCCCAGCCTGGAGTTCCCAGCTGTCTGTTGAGTACATCACCTGCATGCTGTCCTGACATCTTAATGTGTCTGAAGCCACAGTCATTGGCTTATTCTCCAAATCATCACTCTTTCTGGCTTTTCCCATTTTTCCTCCCAGTAGGGGTCTCTGTCTTCCACCCTCTGATCCGAAGCCTGAGGCATCTTGTATTCTTTCATTCATTTGCTCCCTAAATCTACTTTTATTGGATTTTTCCTTCCAGAACCCATTAATCTGATCCTTTCTCAATTCTACTCCCTGACTATGGCTCTCATCACTTGATACCGTGTATGACTAGAGCTTCTGTGCCTGACTAGTCTCATGCTCTTTCTTCTAATTTAATCTACCTAAGAGTGATGAAAAAGTTTCTAAAATTCTACTTTGGAGGATTTCTTCTAGTAAATATTCAAGACATATTCATTGAGTGTCCTTTGCACGCTAGCAGGCACCATGCTATGTGCCTGTTATAGAACGATTTTAAAAAAGAGACAATATTTCTGCCTTCATGGATTTTAGTGTATAAGGTAGAAGAACACAATTAAAATTAAAATAAGAAACTTATCGTAATAATTTTAATTTAGTAAGTGCTGTAAGAAAATAAAAACACAGTAGAATGGCAGAATAAATGGGACCTAAGGTGATGGCAACTAAGGAAGGACCTAAAAGTTGAGAAAAGCCCAATTGTGATCTAGAGCTTCATTTCTTTCCATAAAGTTGAGTTGAAATTTCCTATCTAAAATAAAGGCACTATTTTTTAGACTTTTTCATTGCTCCCTTTATAAAACCCATATGTCAATTCAAGTAGCCCATATGTTATTGCTGAATTCTGTTTTGCATATTCCTGTCTATATATCTTTATCATGAATTTCTTTTTGTGAATCTGTGTTGCCCGCCTCCATCTCTTTCTATTAAGATCATGCCTACATTTCAATGGAGAACTCAAATATACCTATTTCATAAAACATTCATTGGTAACCATAGCTGGAAACCATCTCTTCATTTTCTGGACTGCCATCAAATTATTATTTTTGCATTTCTCTTCTAGCATTTATGTTATGCTCCAGTACACAGTAAATATTTGAGTGCATGCTTTACTCCCCTGCCAAGTTTTACATAGACTACATCATATTTCTTTGTCCTCTGAGATTGTCTAACACAGTTTCTTAATCTACATAAGCATTCAATAATCATTCATTGAATTAATAAATAAGCTATCTTTAAAGAGTGTATCAATTAGAATCATATCCAGTGACTGGCCCAGGAAAGGGATGTGTTCTACTGTTCTATACATTTCTAGCACTTTGCACATTGCCAAGCACATAAGAGGTGTTCAAACATGCTTGTTGAACTAACGGTCCGAAGGTCCTAGAATACACAGAATGTCAACAGCAAGGAGTAGACTGATCCTTGTGTTTGCTAATTCTTGGGTTCCCTTGAGTCCCAGGCTGAGAGTTTGCCAACCACAGAACATCTCCAATAAACCCATTTATTTTTGGTCTGGCTATTTCCATAATGTCGGTATGAACTCCATCATTATAAGAAAAAAACTGGATGCCGCAAGTGTGTGGTGCCTTCCTTGTCATGTTGGTAATCACTTTGTCTGCTGAATACTCCAAAACATTTGGGAGAGTTTTTATCCTTTTCTGAAAATCACACATAGAAACATAGTATCATTTCAATGCTTCAAAGTTTTGACTTAGTGACACAGCTAAACCCTCTGTCTTTCACAGCTGTGCTCTTTCCTTTCTTCAAAGCCAAGCTGGATAAAAATAAACCCCACAGATGCTGTTCTGAATGTATGTTCATCAGCATAGACAGTATATGGGAGCAAGATAAAATAGGCAGCATCACAACAGCCTGTCGGAGGGACTAACAACAACCAGTGGAAGTGTCTCCATAGGGCTGTGTCTCCAAAGGGCTATATCTCCATGGGGCTGTATCTCCATAGGGCTGAAACATGGGACCTTAAGACATGAAAAGGTTTAGTATAAAGTTAGTTCAGCAGGTGAAAAGTTATAGGAGGCAAAAATGCTCATTCCCCATTCCTGGGGAACAAACAACAAAAGCAACAGCAACAACTAAAGGATAGAAGGAAAGAAAGGGAGAAAGTACAGAGGAAGGAAGGAAGGGTAAGAGGGAGGGAGGGAAAATGTCTTATTTGATTCTCATGTATAGTAACTCAAGCATGAAAGACACTCCCCAGTTAAATTAGCCAAGATTGTAGTCCTCATTATTATGGGAGAAAATTGAGCCATTAAAATAATTATTCTAAAATGCATATGTTGATGATAATAAGATATGTTTTATTGCCTCTCTCTTTCAGGTTATTGAAATCCCTTAAGAATCATTATCTTATTAAGTCTTATTATATGGTTATAAGGTTGGGGTTGGGAAAATTATTCCTCCTTTGCAGTCTAGCAGATAAGGAAAGAGAGTTGTGTGAATTGTCCCAGCCACTCAGCAACAAAAATTAACAGCAGAAATTGTACTGGGGTTCAAAGGTATCCATTCTTGAGCTAATAAATTTCCCCTTTGTAGTCTATCTTGACTTATGGGTAAGCTATTGAAGCTATTGCCTGACATGTTTGAATAAATCCAAAGTGCCTCATTTAAGAGTTTTTGTAGCTTTGCTTATTTCTTTGTTTCTAAGAATTAAAACAACACCAAAAACAAAGCTAAACAAAGAAACAACAACAACAAAAAACCATTTTGCCTCAAATAAACCAGAGAAAGGTATACGCCAGGTAGATTATTACCCTTGAAAATCTTTATATTAGAGGTACAATTATTTTCCCCCAAGGAGAAGGTTTCCCTTAAACTCCAAGAGGCAATGCATTCTGACTTGTAAGCATTTCTTCTCTTTGTTTATCATGATCCCTTTATTTTTCCCCATTGGGAGGACAGATGCTGACTGAATTTGATGACTTGGACCATTGACATGTTCTGTGCCTTCATTTTCACTTCCCTTTTCTTCATTATATTCCTGTAGACATATATCATTATGCTCTTTGTGGCTACCTCTTTCTCTTGGCCTTATTAGAAAGCTCCTCTAGGGGTGTCAACTGCTTGAAGTAGTTGAATTAATCAATTACACTCTGGTTCTACATTTACAGGGTTAAAGACATGTTGATTTGACATCGAAAACTCTGAAAGCCTTTCTGTTCACATCAGAATCTCTTCTCTATCAAGTGAAATTTTTGCACATGGGTTTCCTTCCTCACTTTTCCCTCTCGAGGCTATAAACACATAGATAGTGTCTTTTGTAGATAAAATCACCCCTGGCTATTACCGTCTCTTTCCACCTGAAATCCTAATCTTTCATTTTCGATATCACAATCATCTTCAAAGTAACAACCTGACATATTATAACCACTTGACATGCTTGAAAAAGATGGAATATATTTTTAGCTGCCTAATTTTATACAGCCTTTGGAGAAATAAGCCTGCTATGTAGACAGTTTATTTCTATTCTTAATTGATGACAGAAGAGTAAGGAAAAGAGACCTTTTTTCAAGTGGTTTCTCTTTAATGATGGAATAATTTTAGGACTCCAAACTTGTTTATGAAAATATACAATAGAGTGGGTCCTCCAAATGCTAAAATTCTTAGGAAATACTAGAAGAAATGCTATAATAAAAGGCACGTTGGTGAGAGAGACAATGAAAGATGAAGCGTTTGAGGTTGTTAGATGAGGAAGATATAATATCGTGCTTTCAGAGAATTGCAGTTCTTTTGAGCTCTCTTGTACTTTTTACAATTCAACTGCATCCACCTGCTATCCATGACCTACAGACACCATTTCCTCTCTGCAACTTTCTGGGTTCCATATCCATGTTTCTAAGCAAACTGCTTTTTTGAGACAGAACCTCACTCTGTTGCCCAGGCTGGAGTGCAGCAGTGTGATCCTGGCTCAAGCAATCTCTGCCTCCGGGGTTCAAGTGATTCTCATGCCTCAGCCCCCCGAGTAGTGGGCATTACAAGTGTGTGCCACCACACCGGGCTAATTTTTTATACTTTTAGTAGAGATGGGGTTTCACTATGTTGGTCAGGCTGGTCTTGAACTCCTGGCCTCAAGTGAATCATCCAACTCGGCCTCCTAGCAATCTCCTTTCTAACACCTTCCTTGGTCTTGTTCTTTTGGATCTCACTGTTTTCTCCTTTGTTGATGGTTTTTGTAAATCTTGGTCGAAAGTCACCGTCAGGCACCTGTCAATTCCCCACCATGCAGGGGCAGTGCCCTTTGAAACTCAATGTAGAGCCCTGTGGAACCACCTGTAAGAGGCTTCCCACGTAGAAGAGTAACGCATACCATGTGGCTGGACCGCCCCGTGTCTCTCAGTCTCTTGCCCCGGCTTCTGCTTCTCCCTAGTTATCAGTGCATCCCTTATCCAAAATGTCACCAGAAACAGGGAAGTTGTGAATCCTAAACTCATCTTCATTTTAGATGTTTTCTTTATTCTTCAACAAATTTCACAAATGGGATTCTCTCTTTCCTTCTCCTGTTATTTTATTTATTTATTTTACTGCTGACTTAAAGGAGTCAGTGTCTCCCTTTACATGTGACCATCCACATGGAGTCATTTAGAATCACTTTGGGGATCTGGGCCTCTGGGTCAGTAGGCTGCTACTATACCTCCAGTGAATGCTGGAAGTATAGCTCTCCTGAGATCAGGTTATCCAGGTGAAGACAAGAGGTCCAAAGTGAGAAAAGGTAACATATCTAAAGTTCAAGAGGCCTGTGGAAGTAGCCTGAGAATGTACCAGGTAATGAAGCAAAATATGCACCTTAGAAATAGAGCATGAGCTTTCAAGTCAGAGAGACCTGGATTCAGGGCTTACTAACTGTGCTTGATGATTTCCTACCTGTGCAAGTAACCTAACATAGGGTCCATGAACCCTACCTGTCCAAATCTTTTGGAAAACAGAAATTTTTAAACATAGATTTTTAAGCCAAAGATCATAATCTCTAATATATGTGCTTTAAGTATGAAGTAAATAAAAAATATATTTTAATCAACTCTGGGTAATTCTAACAGTAAGCCCTACGTTTGGATATGCATTTGGGGTGTTCTGGAATACACGTTTGGGAAGCACTGACTTCACCTCTCTAAGCTTTGTTTTTAAATGGACATAATATTCACCATACCATGGGGATATTATCAATATTAAATGACATAATGCATGTAAAGTGCTCTGCATAATGCCTCTAATATGGAAGATGCTATGAATGGTGGTTGGGATTGAAACCACCATTCATTGAGCATCTTTCACATTAGAGGCATTATGCAAAGATAAATAGGTCCTAAATAAAGGCTGATGCAACTGATAGGCTGAGGCCAGAAAAAATTCTTAGCTAGGCACTGATAGTTGTATTTTTGTTTCTGTTCTATTTTTGTTCTGAAAGAATTTAGGCAAATCATTGTCCTTTAGGCCCATAAAAATCACATCCTTTTGTGTTTAAAAGTTCATGTGTTCTCTGGTTAACTCCTTCCTGCCTTTGGTTCCCTCAGGCACCCATAGCTAATAATTTTTAAAATTTCAGAGGTAAGAAGTAATGTCACCCCTAGTCATCCCCCCTACCCCAAGTAGGCTTTAGATCTTAGCACCCCCTATGTCTATGGAAACCAAAATTCACTGCATTCTGCTTTGACCTTCACTTTGTGGTCCTCCTGGTTATCCCACTTTCTTCTCAGGCTCAAACGCACATACTTAACAGGACTTATAAAATCTGGAAGCAGAGCACATCACCAGAAAATGATCTATTGATGGCCAAAGTGTTATATGTGTACATGTGATGTGATGTGATTATGATGTGTGTGTGTGTGTGTGTGTGTGTGTGTCTGCACATGCTGATCGAAGATCACTGTATTTCTGGCCATTTCTTATGAGCATCTCATGAATGGAAAGGTTGAAAGATTGTCTGGGAAATTCCTGGATCCTCCCAACATGGTGGACTGCCTGGCTAGCTGAGGCTGATTTCTGCAATCAGAGTGGTGTCAGTAGTCCGTCACCATGAACTAGATACTGCCTATATATTTTATGTACATCTTTACATTAATTAGTTGTTGGTTGATCTCAGTTTCCTGAGATTCAGTTTAAACAATAATTTGCTGTAAAAGAAAATCATTATTCCTAGATCCTCACCCTGGATAGGCAGATGGTTGGAATTTATTTCTGATGTTTTAAAATCACTTTGTTTTGAGTTACCTGGTCTATAAAAGTTTTTGTTTTTAGTTTTATAACAGGATAGCATTTTCCCAAAGAATGTGTATTCTCCCTTGTTTTTCAGATAAGAAAATGTAAAAACAGTAGATGGGACAGTTTGGCTGTACACAAATGAATTTGATTTAAAATTAAAACTGAATACAGAGGATGATAATTCCATAATGTGCTAAGTATGGCTTACTTAGTAAATTTATCTTTCCTTGGATCATGAAGAGTCATTAGAGGCAGGGAAGATCATTTCACTGGGACGCAGATGACAGTTACATATCTTTCTTGATTGGAAGTGGGGCAGGAAAAAAATATTAGAAGGTGCAAACTACTTTGTATATACTACCAAAACAACCTGCCTAAAATGTGTTATGTCATACTGCATAAATTTCTTCAGTGGATTGAGTTCAAACTCTAAACAGAGATACAATCTTCCACTCAAATCTCAAGTTCTATTGCAGCCCAGTATGAACCATTTGACCCAGACCTGTGCACCCACCATGCCCTGAATACACGATGCACCTTCTTTCCTCTGGAACTTTATTTCTTCTCAGTCTTTAGGACTTCTTCCCAAATTACCCTCAATCCATAGCGATTTCTCCCTATTTTGGGAGGTTGGAGAGGGCAATTATCACTTTTTAATTATACGTTTCTTACACAATTGAGTTTGCTACCTAGGACTGTCAGTTATATGCTATAAGCTTTTTGAGGACAAAGAACTACTTTTTTCATCTTTGTGTCTCCCATAACATCTAATATATAGCACAATTCTCTACAAACAGTTGTGTGATTACTAGAACCCTCTATTAAAACAAAAGAGAAGACCTCCCCTGCTTCTGCCTATTAACCCCAGGTCATATTATTGTGGATCAAGTTTCCCACTATTAGACATTATGTCATGGTTTCCAAGAACATTTCTCTGCACTGCTGCAGTTATTTTGCAAAGCTATATTATCTCAACCAGGGAATTGATCCAGTGGTTTTGGGCTACTATTTTAAACAGTCATTAATTGAAGAGTGAAGTATTCTGCTCACCTATGATTGTATAGGGAACTATAAATATATGCACAGTTGTGTAATTATCTCCACCAATGCTATCTTTCAAAATGGCTAATTATCACAAACATATAAAATGCAAATTCTATCTCTAGACGCTATTCAAAAGGAACCATGCAGGTACTGTAATTCTATTGAAAATATCAACTGTGATTTCATTTGCTCAAATGTATAGTGCCTGGCATGTTACTTTCCCAGGAACTTGTGATTCTAGCTTGAACTCCAAGACCCCAAAGATTAGAGCTATAACTTTAATGATGAATTCCTGCTTTGAACACTAATTTCCAGTAACTGAATTTCCTGACCAAGAACCCCAGTCTTCCCATGAGTGTCTTCCTGTTCCTATTACATTCATTGCTTCAGAGCATTGGATATGACCACTAGTTGTGTGACATACAAAAAATTACTTACCCTCTGTTTCCTATTCTGTAAAACAAGGTTAATACCAAATTCACATGGTTGTGTTGAGAATTAAATAATGTACTATGTGTAAGGCACATGTTATAGATGCTCAATAAATGTTCTCCTCCTGATTCCTATTTCTATTCTGCCTATTCTTTAACCTATTGGGCTTGATATGCTAGACCCCCTTGCTGTCCTTTTACTCCTGCTAATAGACCAAGTAGAAGGGTTAGAGGAAACCTTTGACTAAGCAAATGCAGCTTATCATTTCAAATAGTGATGATGATTTTTTTCAATGATTGGTTAAAGGATTTGTAATGCTTTCTTATGCAAAAGACCAACAAGGTCATTTTGAAAGGAAAGAGTATCATTGTACCCAGAGCATAGAACCCAAGGGATTGAGGAGAGATATAAGGTAAGGCTGGAAAGCTAAACAAAAATCAGATTTTTTGGAGTTTGGGGGACCATGCTAAGAAGCTGTATTTCTCAAGGTTCTGTGACTGATTTATTTTCTCTTTTCTCTGTGGCCTTCCTTCTTTGGAGGATTTACTCCTTGCAATATGTCAAATACTGTCTCCATGATATACCAGTTGAACCAAACTTACTAAGGAATTCCAGAAATGCATTTCCACCTGCTTTATGTATATGCCAATAATTGGACTCCTTACCATCAGCTCCTTCTCTAAGCTTTTCTGTTTTCCATCCTCCCAGTTGCTGAAGCCCTATCCTGAAACCTCCTATAGTTCAACATTTATTCTTTAAGAAAACTATTTATTTTCAATTTTTGTAGACATTGTACTGGAAATTCACAAAGGGACAAATAATATAATTGCTGCCCTCATATGGCTTATGTTTTATTTGGAAAATTATTACAGCAAATCATACTTTCTGATTTCTCGTTGTTTTTTTTTTTTTTTTTAATGCTCCTTCTCATCTTTGTTGCTTCTGCCTTATCTCTCCAACTTTTAAGTTTTGGAGTATCCTAGAACTTGGTTTATGGATCTCTTATCTGACTCTGAAATTTATGTTAGCTGCTTAGATCTCTGTTCTGAGTTCTAGGCTAGTAAAAACGAGCTGCTACTCACCACCTCTCCTTGGAAGTGTCATGGGCATCTTGTTGATGATCACTTTTTTGGGGGTTTGAAAATGTGCCACACAGGCACTGACACTCGTTCCCCCAAGGTAGAAATCCCTTTCCTTTAAAGTAGACCAAAGTTAGTGACTCACTTTTAATGAATATATTGCAGTGGAAGTAATGAATACAAAAGGTAATAAGCTTAATATGCTTTGGCCTGGCTGTCTCTTTCTTAGGACATACGTTGTAGGAGTCCTGAGTTGACATGAACGATGTCTGGCCACTCTGAAGTTGCCACACTGTAGAGACTGTGTGGAAAGACACACAAAGTTTTAGAGTGGTTTGCGACTTTTCAGCATCAACTGCCAGACATGTGAGCGAGCCTTAGGTGACTCCAGCCCCCTGCCTTTAAGCCATTCCAGGTGATGCTAAATGTGGCGGAGATAAATTAGTCCCCCAAGCCCTGTCCAAACCACAGATTCATGCACACTATCAATGTGATGATTGTTATAAGCCACAAACTTTTGAGATGGTTTGTTTTGCAACTGTCTTCTCTGAAACAATGTCCAAAATGAAGGTCCACCTTCATCCCTGCTTATTGTGCTTTCTTTTCACCTCTATTAAAACCAAGTTTTTCCTACCACGCACTGACATCAAACATTTGTTAACCTTTATTTCTCTCATTCTTCCATACTCTACTTCTGGTCAGTCAGAATATTCTATTATCCTAAAGCTCCATAAATTGCCAGAATTCGACTACTTCTCACTACCCACACTGCCATGAAGACCTCATCATCTTTGATATGGATTATGAAGATAGTTTTTTGGTAGATTTCTTATGTTAGTAGCCCCAATTATGTACCCTTCCTTGTCCCCATGTCCTTCACATGTGGCTTTGCTACTGCTCTCATCTAGAGTTGGAGTTCTCTTCTCTTTGATTTTGAGCTCAGTCATGTGTTTCTTTGACAAATGTGAAGCAAGCAGAGAAACATTATCTATTTTTACTTGTTCTATTGCTTCTATGTAATTGCCTTAAGTGCAAGCTGGGGCTATCTTATTTTGCTGGAGAATTAAGATATGTGGTGTAGGCCGGGCGCGGTGGCTCACGCCTGTAATCCCAGCACTTTGGGAGGCCGAGGCGGGTGGATCATGAGGTCAGGAGATCGAGACCATCCTGGCTAACAAGGTGAAACCCCGTCTCTACTATAAATACAAAAAATTAGCCGGGCGCGGTGGCGGGCGCCTGTAGTCCCAGCTACTCGGGAGGCTGAGGCAGGAGAATGGCGTGAACCCGGGAAGCGGAGCTTGCAGTGAGCCGAGATTGCGCCACTGCAGTTCGCAGTCCGGCCTGGGCGACAGAGCGAGACTCCGTCTCAAAAAAAAAAAAAAAAAAAAAAAAAAAAAAAAGATATGTGGTGTAGAGTCAAGTCACTCTAGGTATCCAGATGGAGTTCATTCTCAATTAGCAAAGCTGCCTAGCGGACCTGCAGCTGACCACAGACAGGCATGAGCTTGGTCAAGACCAGGAGACCTGCTCAGCTGACTCACAAGTTCATGAGCATTTGTTTACTGTTTTTAAGCCACTGTGTTTTGTGGTTGTTTGTTACGTGACATTTTGGTGGCAATGACTAACTTATGCAGAAATTGATGCTAGGAATAAGCTGTTACTTTAACAGAAACATAAAATATGTGTCATTGGTTTCAACTCTGGAAATGGGCAGGAATCTGAAAAAATATCAAGGAAACTGGAATAATTGGGGCCATTGCTATATAGTTGTGAAATATTTGAGAAAACAGTCTCCTGTGGTAACTTGGAAGATGGAAAATAAAACAAATGATCTTTTGGATTTGGACAAAGAGCTCTCCAGGCAAAATTAAAAGTGGGAGCTGGCTTTTACTAGCTATGTAAGATACATTGCTTTAAGGAAGAGATGAATTCTACAAAGACTGTCTAGTTTGAAAGCAGAATTCAAAGGGAATATGAACACCAAGTGCCTAGAATAGTGCTAGGCACTCAGCCAGTGCTCAATAAATATTTGTGGGAGAAATCAATTATTTACTTATAATTTCAATGTGTGTTATAGATAAGAAATATAAAGCTTCATGACAGTCTATAGGACAAAAGCAATCATCTCCTTAACCCACTCCCAGGGCCTAATTTAAATTAGCATGGGCCAGGCACAGTGGCTCAAGCCTATAATCCCAGTACTTTGAGAGGCCAAGGCGGGGAGGGGTGGATCACCTGAGGTCAGGAGTTCAAGACCATCCTGGCCAACTAGTGAAACCCCATCTCTGAAAAAAAAAAAAAAATTAGCCAGGTATGGTGGTGCACACCTGTAGTTCCAGCTACTCGGGAGGCTGAGGCTTGAGAATCGCTTGAACACGGGAGGCGGAGGTTGCAGTGAACTGAAATTGTGCCACTACACTCCAGTCTAGGTGACAAAGAAAGCCTCCATCTCAAAAAAACCAAAATTAGCATAGAGGTTGCTAGGAGCCTTAACTCATCCCCATTAGAACAGTATTGCCCTGACATGAACCTTCATTGCAGGCTTTTCAATTTCTGTAAGGTTAAGAATCCTTCCTGAAATTATCTACATAATGCTGCTTTAAAATCTATGTACATGATATTTTCTGCTCATATAGTTCCTTTTAGGTCATATTTGTCAGTCACATCACCATATCTGATTTTTAAATATCCTTCCAAGCAGACATTAGAACCCAAAATAAAAAGAGAACTCAAAATAATACCAGACAAGCTCTTGGTATAAATGAATGATTTTCATCTATTGTGTGTGACTCACAGAATGGAGTTTCTGGCTAAACACTGACCATCATAAACAGTTATTCACCTAGAGTTTGGCTATTATATTTCTACATTTAAGTTCTTCTCAGATTTTCCTTCTTTCTGTTTGTTTTCTTCTTCACCTTTTCAGTTTACTAACAATTTGAATTATATTCTTGTTTCCAAAACATTATTTCCTCCCTGACTGCTAGGTATCCTCTGTACTTTTGATTAGCCTGTCATCTTACAGAGGACATTAAGCAGCAGCACTGGGCCCAGGACTGACCCCTGCCAGCACTGGCTAATATGTCCCTTAGGTTGGTCATAATTTAACAGGAGATGCTCTGAGTCCTCCCTAGGGCCAAAAGGTAACTGTGGAATGAGTATCTTCCTATTTCTTCAAATACACATTTGTTTAAGGAAGAACAATTTTAACAAGCTTGGTCCCTAGGGATGCTGTTTGAAAACTGCTTAATATGTGGATTTTACATTGGGCAGATAGCTTTTGCAAGTGAACCTAATGCTAGTGGAAACCCACGTACTGAGAAGGCTTCCTGGTTTGCAAAAGAAATCCTCAGCTTCAAGGCATTTCTCCAATTTATACACAGTACTTCTACAACTTCAGTTGTGAGGGTTCACTCTCAGACTTGCCTCACAACATCAAATTTCTTTACCAAGTGAACCCACTCATAAGATATATTTGTTACACTCTCAATCTATTTAAGAAAAATTCCCATGAGAACTGGAGTCACAGGTCAGTAGAGAGCCCCTGAATTTAAGGTGTGGGGATATCATTATCTGTCAAACTTTAACACACAAACAGAACAACATTGCAGAGGGCATAGTTCCCTGCAGCACAGCCACCATGGCAGACTTGATGCCTGTCCTGAGATTGATTTTATTTAAAATCTCTTTCTCTGTAGTATTTTCTTTTTAAATCTCAAAGGTAATACTTGCATATGGCAAAAATTTCACTGCATAATGAAAAGCAAATGTCTCTCTCACCTCCAACCTTCAGTTCCTTCTCCAGAGAAAAATGTTGTTGAGTTTCTTACATACCTTCCAGAAACTCTACATGAATATACAAGCACATTGCCTATTTTAACAATCCAAAGGAGAGAAAACTATTCCCACAATTCTGAACCTTGCCTTTATCCTTCAAAATCTTGATATTATTTCCATAATTAGAATGTAGAAATAAACTTTATACTCAATATTGTCTATCAAGTTGTTTCATTGGCTGCATGTAACATATTTTATTTAGCCAAGCTCCTACTGCTGGACAGATAGATTGTTCTAGTCTTTTTCCTCTAGAAGAAAAATGCTGTTAAAGGAATCAGGCCATGTGCGTTGGCTCATACCTGAAATCCCAGCACTTTAGGAGGCTGAGATGGGAGGATCACTGAGGCCAAGAGTTCCAGACCAGCCTGGGCAACAAAACAAGATCCTATCTCTAAAAAAAAAAAAGAAAAAAAAATTAAAACCTAACCAGGTGTGGTGGCACACAACTGAAGTCCCAGCTACTCAAGATACTGAGGTGGGATGATGGCTTAAACCCAACTCTAGGAATTTGAGGCTGCAGTAAGCTGTGGTTGCACCATTGTACTTCAGCCTGGATGACAGAGGAAGATCCTCTTTCTAAAAGAAAATGAATAAAAGAAGGCTAGTATGGGATTTGCATAGACAGTGTTTGGAGTTGAAGCTGGATAAAACGGCCGGCCAGGCCCAGTGGCTCAAGTCTGTAATCCCAACACTTTGGGAGACCAAGGTGAGAGGATTGCTTGGGGAGTTCGAGACCACCCTGGGTGATATAGCAAGACCTGTCTCTATTAAATAAATAAATAATAATTTTAAAATCTTTATACTTTCATATTTGCACACCTGTAATACTATATATCTCTAAGAAATTCATATCAGAAATTCCCATTATATAAAATCACAAATGCATTTAATAAGTTGCTAGGTGCTGTTAAGAGATTGCAGCAATACATACTTTCCCCCAAATTTATGAAACTATGAGTCCTCATGGTTTCAGCAACACTATGTACTATTAGACTTTCTATATTTGCCAATATGATTGATGAAAATAGTATTTTAGCTTTAGAGTTGATTAGTCAGTTTGAATAATCTTATTTTACCTATAATCATTAGACATAGGGTGAATGGGGATTTATAGGTAAATGAGGATGATAATAATACCAAGCCCAAAAGTTTTCTGTAAGTCTTAAATAAATTAATACAAAAAAAGCCTTTAAGTCAGTACCTGCCACAGCATATGCAACTTGGAGGATAATGACTACTTGTAAGTATTATTGTTACTTTGTTATATGCTTGTACACAGTTCATTTTTTTCTAAATATGACTAGTCTAATTGTATACTTTGATCATTTTTTCTGTTAGGTTATTGGTATTTTTAATACTGATATTGTTTTAATAACTGTATGAAGAAAATGAACACTTTGTTATTTTAATTTCAGATATTTTCCTCAGTCACGTATTTTAAACTATGTTTATGATATTTTCTTATGCAGGCACTTTAAGTTTTTGTATGGATAAATCCATTAATCTTTTCTTTATAGTTTCTGAGTTTTGCGTTTTCCTGAAAAGGCCAATCTTCTCTATGTCTGTAAAAATATTCTCCCAGATTTCATTTATCCATAGCAAATCTGATTTTTAGAAATAGCCAATGCTTAGTTAGAGAACATATACATATATATTCTGTATATATATATATATATATATATTCTGTATGTGTAAATATACATATATATATAAACCCACATTAACAATAGTAACATATGGTACTACTGTACTATAGTATAGTATAATAACATAATAATATAAAGGTGAAATACTTAGAAATAAACTCAACAACATGTGTGCAAAGTTTATATGGGTTAAACTTCAGCTACTCCTAAAAGGCACAAAAGTAGAATTAGACACTTAAAAAATTCTTATTCTTGCATAGGACTTACTCAGGATCATAAAAATATATATTCACCTTAAATTAATATATAAATTTAACATGAACTCAATAAAACACTATTCTTTCTTCTTTCTAGATAAGCTGATGAAGTTCATTTGGAAAAATAAGTGTGTCAGAATTGCTAGGGAAAGAACCCTGAACAAAGAGCTCCAGTGAGCTATTACCACATACTAGAAAGTCTACTAGAAAGTCTATTCTATAAAAATGAGTGTTTTATAGAATGCCAATGATTAGAAAAATGAACCAATGGACTAGAACACAAGGTCCAAAGCAAGTAACAGCTATCTGTAGAAATTTGCTCTATGATAAATGTAGTATCAAATATAATTGGAGAAAAGGTTAGACTTTGAATAAATGGCACTAGGACAACGGGGTCACCATCTAAGTAAAACATCACACTATATATCAAACTCCAAGTAGATCGGAGATCTGAAAGTTAAAAAATGAAGATTAAAACTACTAGAAGAAAACGTAAGTGAATATATAAACTTGGGAGTGTTTCCAACTATGATTCAAAATGCAGATGCAAAAAGAACAATGATAAACTTTATTAAATAAAATTTCATGGCAAAAGAGCCATAAGTTAAAAGAAAATGTATTCAATTTATATTGCAAGTGTCCATAACTCTAATAAAGAACTGTTCAAAATTAAGAAGGAAGAGACTAAACCCAAGAGAAGAATGGATAGAAGACATAAAACAATAGTTCACAGAAAGTAAGAAAGGCAAATAGCTTTAAAACATGAAAAAAATCAAATCTTTCTTATGAGAAAAGAAAAATTAGAACCACACAATGAGATATCATCAGATTGACAAAAATCAAAAAGAAGATTGATAAAACAAATATTCCATTGGTACAGCTGTGGAGAAACAGGTACTCTCACACTTTGCTTGTACAAATTCAAAATAGTACAATTACTAAAGAGGGAAATTTGGCACTATCTTACATAATTGCTTATGCCTTTACTCTTAAATGACTAAATCCCACTTCTTCAAATCAACCCTGTAGATATACCTGCATAAAAACAGGACAAAACAGTTACCACAGAAAACATGAACAAGGTTATTAATTGGAAAATTCTTTGTAATGTAAAGAGATTGATAATATACATCAAGTGAATTGGTTAAATAAAAAAAGGTAGATCAAAGTACAATTGAATACTATACAACCTTTAACAAGAATGGGAAACAGCTACCGCATGAGCTGATATAAAGAGGATTCTAAGTTATTTTATCAAGTAAAGAAAGCAATATTATTGTTATTTTGTATACAAAAGAGGAGGAAATAACCATACATATTTCCAGGAAAGACAAATGAGAAACTAATAAACACATTTACTAAAAAGAGAGCAGAAGGGCTTGTGAGTTGAATTCACCATGTTATGTAGTTATGGGTTTTGAACAATGTAAATGTTTACAAATTTCAAACTAAAGGAAAAAAAATCCTAAGATTAAACCAAAGGACCTGTTTATATAAAATTGATAACAATCACTTAGAGAAAAGCATGTGTTATTTACAATAGCAAAGACATGGCATCAACCTAAATGTCAATCAATGACAGATTAGAAAAAGAAAATGTGGTACATATACACCATAGAATACTATGCAGCCATAAAAATGAACAAGATCATGTCTTTTGTAGGAACATGGATGGAGCTGGAAGCTATTATCCTTTGCAAACTAATGCAGGAACAAAAAAGCAAATATCACATGTTCTTACTTATAAGTGGGAGCTAAGTGATAAGAACTTATGAATACAAACAAGGAAAGAACAGCTGGGGTCTACTTGAAGATGGAGGGTTGGAGAAGGGAGAAGAGCAGAAAAGATAACGATTGGATACAGAGCTTAATACCTGGGTGATGAAATAATATGTACAACAAACCACTGTGACACGTGTTTACCTATGTAACAAACCCATTTACCCACAAACCTAAAATAAGGAAAAAGAGGGTTTAAGTGATTTTGAACCCCACACTCTGACTGTACATAATGGGGAATATTTGAACAGCACACAATAAGAATTGCATAGAAATCTTAAATTCACACAGTAGGTTTATTATTAATAGTAATGTTAATAGTTATGATTTAGAAATATTAATAGTACTATTTTTAAAAATTAGGCTGTATCATTGTAGGATGGAGCAAATAGGTAAAAATATTATTATGAACCAAGATTTTCAGTGCAAAAAAATGTGATAATAAAGTATAAGTAATAACTTCTTTAATGGCAAATGTAGTTGGAAATATGAATGTAAACTCACAATTTTTCAAATATATATTTCCCCACTCTACCCCCTGAAAAGGCCTGAAAGCAAAACGCCCAGGATCAATGAGTGAATCAGCATCCAGATCTATTTCTAATACTATTGCCCACTTAAAAAAACAAAAGAGCTTTTTGGAAAATTGACTGATTCTAGATATTGTAGTTATCTGCTGCTATGAAATCAACCACTTTAAAACAGAGTGGTTTACAAAACAAGAGCATCCATATTGCTCATGCATCTGTAATTTGGTCTGGACTTGTCAGGAACAATTCATTTCCACTCCACTGAATGTCACTGGGGGCAGCTTATAGCCTGGAAATGGGACTCACTTGAAGGCTCACTCATATGTCTGGCAAGTGATTCTAGGAAGACCCAAATAGCTGCGGGTGGGAAGAGCTGGGGTTTTCCTTATCTCCATGTGCTCTGTACCTTGGTGGTTTCAGGATAAGAAGGCTTCTTACATGTTGGCTCAGGACTGAAGACATATATCTCAAGAAAGAGAAAGCCAGACATCAGCTGTATCTCCTTTTGTGATCAAGTTTTGGAATTCACGCAGCATTACTTTTGCGGCATTCTCTTTGTTAGAAGTGAGTCACTAGGACCAACTCATATTCTATGGGAAGGGTAGTAGAATCTTCCTTTTGATGGCAGTAATGTCAAAGAATTTGTGGACATGTTTTTAAGCCACAGGTCTACAGAAAAATACAATGTGAGCCAAGATCCCTAATTATACCGAAAATCAAGAAAGTGCTCAAAGATTAATGTAGATCTGTAAAAAAGACAAAAGAACGTGTTTAAGCATGCTCCTATTGATCAAATTCAGGTCAATTTAAGCATCATAGTGAATAATCAGTATAATCAATTGTAACACATGGGGTTGACGTGGTGGCTCATACCTGTAATCCCAGCACTTTGGGAGGCTGAGGTGGGTGGATGACTTGAGCTCAGAAGTTCAAGACCTGTAAGGGCAACATGATGAGACCCTGTGTCTACTAAAAATACAAAAATTAGCCAGGCATGGTGGTATGTGCCTGTAGTTCCAGCTGCTTATGGGGCTAAGGTGGGAGGAAGGCTTAAGCTTGGGGGGCAGAGGTTGCAGTGAGCCGAGGTTGCACCACTGCATTCGCATTCCAGGATGGATGACAGAGTGAGACACTGTCTCAAAAAAAAAGAAAAAGTAACACAGGAATAATAAACATTTGAGTCAGAGAGATTCAAAAGGTAGGGGAGGGGTAGCAAAAGCTCTCCTTTTAGATGAATGGTGGCTAATACACTTAGAAAGAAACTGAATGTCACAGTTTTGCAAATTCTAATGTCAAGACTGGTTCAGGCAAGGGACAAACACGGATGCTGAACTATTAGTTGAAAGTTTGTTGGAAGCAGTATTTTCACATTGTGCCAAAAAATGACCCCAAATATTATTTACTAATTGCAAAGGGAAAAATATATCTTTACATAGAGATCTGATGGCTACTATTTTAACTAGCTGATCACATTTGGTATTGGCAATGGTAGGACACCTTCACCTACAACATTTTAAGCCTCCTATTGTGATACCAAATAATGTAGCAAGCATATCCCATGACATATTCTTGTTTCCAATGATTAATCCAAATTGCACCAGGACTGTAGTTTTAATGTCTTGTTTACAGTAAAAGAAGACAGTAGAATAACAAATTTTTAAATAAGCAAGAAGAAGTAGACAAATCCTGAATGTGGGACATCAATAACAAAACTGCCCTGGATTATTCAAAAGGTCAATACTGAAAAACAGGTGAGGGGCTGTTGTTTAATCTATTGAAAATAATTAAAGAGCTATAAGCAAATGAGATGCCTTAACACTGATAGGATCTTCTTTCAGTAAGAGAAGGTGAGAGAGAGAGAGAGGAAGAGACAACAAGCTATAATAGACATTCTTAAAACAATTGGCAGTATTTGTACATGAACAAAATGTTAAATTATACCATGATATTATTAATTGTCTTATGTGTGATAATGGTAATATATTTTGAATTATACCTTTAGTAATACGTGATTCAGGGAGAAATATTTAAGGAGAAGTGTGATATTTGCAATTAACTTTTAAATGACCCAAAGGAACATGTTTAAATCTCATTGAATATAGGTGGAGCCTATATGGGGGTTTGTTGTACAATATTTATATGAAAATATTTTATCAAAGAAAATTGGGGGATGATAATAATACACAATACAGTTTAGGGAACAAAGTAGGTAATCAAGGAGAAATTGTAACTTTTCTCAAAGGAATTCTTCCAATTCCAAAATTTGTGGTCTGTTTTTTCTATAGGGGTTTCAAACTGCCCCTTGATGACCTGAGAATGCCACAGAGGCATCCAAAGAAGTCAAGTGGGAGAATAAACAAGGGATTTGTTGGCTTTCCATACCTTCTCTGTTTGTTTGCCTAAAAGCATGTTTGAAAATCAATGTATCAAACTCAATTAGATTTGCAGGGTTAATTAATTGTATGATTTTCAAGTAGACTATAAAGTCTGTCCTCAAAGAAGAAAAACAAAAATGTGTGGACAATACTTGCATTATTGGGATAGCTGTAGTAGTTTAACAGGTTGACAATTTTAGATATAACTATATAACAAGCTACAATTAAAACTATAAAACTATGTGTGTGTATATATGTGTATATATTTATAAAGCACAGTAGAGTGATTTTAAAAAAATACTTCCATGATATTCATTAGTCACAATATATACTTACAGAGACTATTAAAAAATGGATGGAAATTGATTACTTCCAGGATGAGAGAAGGCTTTGGGGCTCTGGTGGTCTGAGATCACCCGTCCCTCCATTTGCTGCACTTCTATTTCTTTAAACAAATCCTGTCCCTGAGTCAGTTCTATTCCAAGTAATAAAGAAAATAAATTTCAAATGGCACAAGATCGAAAGTACAAATTCAACCCAGATGGTCTTTATTACTATGCCAGGTCTCTGGCCAATAATGTGACTTCAAACATAAAGACGAATGAAACCCAACTGACTGCTTCCTAGTCTCTTCTGATTTCAGAAACTGGATCTCCTTGAGAGGAAATCAAATTATGTCTTTGGAAGTAATCTTTCTTTTAATATATATTTATCAATAGTTTCCTCTCTCACTGTCTTTCTGTCTTTTAAATGGTCATATTATATTGCATTTTTACCTTAAATATGCAAGATTCATGTCTGAATTCAAAATCAGCATTACAGATAAAGATAATATCATTAAAAAGTGAGAGTAATGATTGTGGTTTTGGTGACAGAGGAAAAGGTCATATTGTTCAGAGAAGGGAAGAATAAAAAGCCTCATTAAGCCATCATTTTGGGGTAGAATTCTCTTCCTGGATAGTGGAATGTATTTGCTTTCAAAAAACCTTTGATAATGGACATAAAGAATACGCTTGAAAGTTAATGGATTCAATGATATAGTCCTACTACCTGCTCTACCCAACTTTAATTTGGAAAAAAATATGGATAGTTCAGCACAGATATGGTTTAATCTTTGTCCAATGTGGGTCATTTTCTCCCAGGACTACACCATTTCCATAAGCTTCCTGAACAGTTCAAAGAAATTTTTGAGCTCATGAGGATATTTTCCAACCCCAAATCCCTTAGCAAACTGGCAGAATTCAATCACAGCCCCTGTCTCTTCTGACGTTCTAGATGTCCTGGTTGAGGTTAGCATTAGTAACATGAATAGCTATCATGTATACTGTGTTGCCAGTTTATATTTTCCTGTATAGCATCTTGTCTAGTTCTTACATTAAATTTCTAAGTTATAATATTGTTCTTTTTCCTACTTTACAGATAATAAGGGAGACATTGTTGAAACAATATTCTCTGCTTTTCTGCTTCACCAACTTTAGAACTTCCTATGATCTATTAACATTCTTTCTTGCAAAGCACTTGGAACAGTGCCTGACATAGAGTGCACTCCATGAATTCATATTGTTGATAAGTCTATGCTTCTTAAATTGGGGGGCACACAACCTAGGTGGGTACCCAGGCACGCAACTCAGTGCACATTCTTGAATTATCAATTTCACTTCATAATAAATAATTCAAGTATTATTTTTATTCAAAAAATAGCTTGGGGTAAAACATACGGTTTTTATGAATTTAAAGATAAAATATGAGACATGAACAGACTTCCAGCCTTGCAGCATGCTAATTTGATCTACACCCCTGACTCTCTGAAGTATACAATCTGTTGGAGTCACTTTAGCAGGAAAATTGAAAAAAACCCATGGTAGGTGTTCTGCCATCTTATTCCAGGCTCTGGAGGACTCTGTTAAGCAGTGACTGGCATGGTCTGACTCAGCCGGCCATATCAGGCACCTTGACATTGATCCAGTTCTTGAGAGATGCCAATGGGATAATGAAGGTATCTCAAGAAGTTCTCCTGTCTTTGAATATCTACCTCTTTAAAGAGCTTTACATTTTTTTTTACCATTAATTATACATTTTCGAAGCAAATTTCCAGGAACAAGTTATTTCAATGTGCTGATTTTATAGATTAGGAGGCCGAGAATCTAAGACGTAGAGTGATTTGCTCAAGGTCACGTAAAAATATTAAAACAGAAACTAAGTGGACCTTCATTTCTTATTCCTGGCCCAGTGCTATTTCCTCTTTCTTTATTTGATTGTCTGTCAGTAGAAAGCAATTATAGAATCTAGGAGGAAAACACCAAATACACACACTACCAAAGCATAGAGAGGTCGAGATCAGAGTCATTGGAGTAGGATTATATAATGTCAATTTGGGGGAGTGAGACATGGAACATGTGGAGATGTCCTGTGAGAGATCCTGCCCTACCTCTGCCAACCTCTGTCAACAGATAAGGGGTCCAGAATTGCCAGAGGGGAGGTATTCCAACAGATCTTGGGTATCAGTGACTATGATGATAAAGAAGAGTAATGCCAAGAGGAGGAGAGTCATCCAGAAAGGTGGAGAGGAAAAAACTAAACTTTCTACAACATTAATACAGGGTGGCAAACAACTTGTTCTCAAAGGAAAAAAAAAACAAAACCACCCCCCAACCCCGACTCTGTCTGTGAAGCTCTCCAGGGCCTCAAACCCAATTCCTTCCTGGCTTCTTTACAGAACTAAAGCAAACACACTGAGCACTGTTTACCAGAAGCAGTCAACGATGCCCCAAGGAGCAGTATCCCTGAACTTGCAATGCTGTCAGCAGAGAAAATGCTGATGCGATGTTTGAAATCGGAGTTCAGGGGAGAAAGCAATCAGGCCAGAAAAAAAAAAAAATAGAAGTAGCAATGTTTCAAGTGGATCTCTTTTAATGTCACCCAGCAAGGACACTATGTTCTAGCATCAAACTGAGGTCAGTAATTAAAACTGACATCTAAGAATGACAATTTCCAAATCTCCCTAAAATGATTGAATAGTCCAAAGTGACCATCTATTCTATTCCTTGTTTCCAACTATCTGAAGTGAGTTGGTAGGCTTTCACGGGAAGCCTACAGTCACAGAATCTATTACTAATAAAAGCAGCCATCTACAGTTTACCCTGTGCCAGGCACTATTCTTGCACTTTTAATTATATTGTCTCAGTTAGTTCGGTTATTAGATCCTAACCACAAGCTTGTAAGGTAGATGTTATTTCTAATATACATACAAAAAGGTGAAGCTCAGGGAATATAAATATATCGCCCAAAGTTTTGTGGCTACTAAGTGGTGGGGCTGAGATTCTAGCTCCCAAGTTTGTGTTCTTAAACCTACACCCTGCAGGCAGAAGATTTGGCAATAGGAAATTTATGGGAACTAAACAGTTACATTCCCTGTCTTCACGGAGCTCGCTGTTGAGCAACAAAGACAAGCAGCTGACTACCCAGGCAAACCCAGTTCAGGTGGTAACTTCTTTGATGGGGGGCATCAGGAGATCTAATGGGAACAAGAGGCAAAGCCTTTACCCTGGGTCAGGGGGTCAGGGAAGGCTTAATCTGCAGTAATGTTCAATTAGTCATCTGAGAGATGGACAAGAATTACTCAATGATGAGGTGGGCTTCTACAGAGGAAACAGAAGGTACTATGACGTGTGGGGGAGAGAGACTGGAGCATTTTCAGGCAAATGAGGCCATTTCAGTATGATAGAAGTGTGGAAGATGAAAGGAAGGAGCAAAAATGCAGAACTGGGAAAGTACACAGGAACCGAACCCCGAGGGGCCTTATGTTACTATAAGAAAGCGGGTTGGGAGTGGGTATTCTCTCTCCGGTTCTTCTTTTTTTTTTTTTTTTTCATAATAAATAGGCAGTGTTAGATGATTTTGCTTTCTTTTTTATCTAAGATATGGAGATGCAATTGTTGACAAATTTGTTCATCATTGGTAAGCAATTTATCAGCATATTGGCATTCTAGACTTCTGTTCTCATTCCAGCGTAGCGTTTGGAAAACTCTTGAAAGAGAAAAATGTTTTCTCTGGCCACACTATTTCTCTTAATGATTATTTCTGCAGTGTCAGGATCACGTCTTCCAGATTCTGCTTTAACCATAAGATCTCACAAAATACCTCGAATGATTGCAATGGATTGATTCACAAATATGTAACCCAAGGAGGCAACACAGCTTGACGTGGGTAAGAGCAGAGTGCGGAAACAAACTGAATGTTCAGGCTATAACACTACCCAGTGTAGAATCCTGTGCGAGTGGTTTAGCTCCTTTGTGCCTTAGTTTTATCATCTATAAAATGAGGACTATAATAGCACCTACCTCTTAGCTATATAAAGATGACTAAGAGATTTATTACATATCAAGCATGTGAACAGTATCTGGCACATAACAAGTACTTAAAAACACTAGCTGCATTTTTCACAGCTAGACACGAGCTGTGTTTGTCACAGAGATTGTGATATGAGCAAAATACTATGGGAATATAGGGAAAGGAGCAATTTACTGGGGGTAGAAAAGTGTTCAGGAAAAATATCACAGAAGATTTGGAATTTTCCAAGTCTCTTTTGAAGAAAAGACAAAGATAATGCTATATTCTCCCACTCCAGCATTAGAGCAAGTAATTCTGTTTTTGGAGGAGCCATTTATTGCAACTTTCTTGAAAGATGATTGTATCCTATAGGAGCAGTAACCTGGTCAAGCTGTCATTAATGTAGCAAGCCTCAGGACAACATTTTTTTAAATCATGTCCTGAAAGTTGGTGTGTGTTTCCATGTTAAGAAAATATTATTTATAAAAGTCTAAACTTGAACAATAAGGCACTGACCACATTTTAGCAGAACTATTTACTTTATGAAATGATTTGTAGCAAGTTCCTTTTTAAATAACAAGCCTTCCTTGAATATTAATTTACAACATCTCAATTTGTACCTTCCATTGCACTGAAAAGACATGAGCTGTAAAATTTGAGATATTCAACTATGTGACACGGAGCAACCGAATAACATTATTTCTATTTTTTACAACAACTGTAAAATGTGTGATGTACATATTATTACCCATGTTTTATAGTTAGAGAAATCAATACTCAGAGAAGTTGAGAAATTTGCCTTAGTTTACAAAACCAGTACACAAAAGAGCCTTGATTAAAGACTAGGTTCCAGTGCCTGTGCTCTTCCCTACATGATACAATTCAAACACATAGATTGAAACATTCTCTAGTAGGAGTCATCATTTATTTCCTTTCCTAATCTCTCCATTAAAAAAAAAAACCCTACAGGTCATTAAATCAGAGGAGGTTTTTAGGTTCTAATTTGTTTTTGCCAAAGCTACCTTGCTACTTTTGGTTCTCCCCTTAGCTTTGGTTGCAACATAAAACCACCAGTTTAGCTTTCTGCTCTTACCTAATTCAGCTTTCCACCTCACTTAACAAAACACCAGCTTGATGATAGAACAGTCTCTGCTTTCCAAAACATAAGCCAGTGAGTGGAAATTTTACTCAATAACCCAATCCCTTTAACTCTAATTAAGCCTATTTCAAGCTTCTGTCTAAATTTGGAACTGACAACTTAATTGGTTGTCCAAGGAAATAAGCGAGGAGAATGCTTTCCCTGACTAGGTTGCTCTAGGACTATACTTCTTTCTACATTAGCAAGAAAGAAAAATCCCTGAAGTATAAACTACTCCTGGTGTAGTAGAAGTTTTCCGCGATATTTTTAGTTTTTTTTGAGGTCACTTTTGGAAATGAAATTTAGGCATTCTTAGGTTAATCCCAATCATTTCTTTTTCTTTATGGTTGATGTTGCTGAACCTTTACCTTGAATTCATCTTACAAAGAATTACCTTAACTACTACCCCAAAAGTAGTTAACTACTTTTGGGGTAGTAACCTTAACTACTACCCCAAAGAAATAATTCTCAAAATGTTGTCTAGTCATATCATGTATTCCAGATCAAGCTGTTCTCAGCCTGTTCAACTAAGATGGAATTACTCCACAGATTATCTAGAGTTGCATCCCGTCTCGCAAGTTTAATTAACACATTATGTGTTTCCTGTAGCAGGCAAACTACGGAAAAGCCATGTGTATGTTTGTGTGTGTGTGTGTGTGTGTGTGTGTGTGTGTGCATGCGCATAGATCTGTAATTTATTTGGCCTCAGACCGGGGGTCAAGGGATTTATTGAGATCTCAGCAACACAAGTTTTCTAGGGAGGGATAAGGATAATAATGGAGGCTGCAGAGAAAAGGAACTGCCTATATACCATTGGTGGGAATGCAAGTTAGTTCAGCCACTACAGAAAGCAGTTTGGAGATTTCTCAAAGAACTTAAAGCAGAACTACCATTTGACCCAGCAATCCCATTACTGGGTATATACCCAAAGGAAAATAAATCATTCTACCAAAAAGACACATGCACTTGTATGTTCAATACTGTGCTATTTACAACAGCAAAGATTGGATAAAGAAAATGTGGTACATATATACCACAGAATACTATATGACCATAAAAAAGAATGAAATTATATACTTTGCAGAAACATGGATGCAGTTGGAGGCCATAATCCTAAAGAAATTAACACAGGATCAGAAAACCAAATACTGCATGTTCTCATTTATAAGTGAGAGCAAAACATTGAGCACACTTGGACATAAATACAGGAGCTATAGACAACACTGCAGACTACCAGATGCAGGAGGAAATAAGGGGAGTGTGGGTTGCAAAACTACCTATCAGGCACTGTGCTTATTACATGGGTGATGGGATCCATACCCAAAAGCTCAGCATCATGCAATATTCCCACATGACAAACCTCCACATGTACCCTCTGTATCTAGAATAAAAGTTGAAGTTAAAAGAGTAATGATAATGAAACGTCAGCTTCAGAACCGCTGCAAAGCTCCCAATCTTGGCAAGTAATAACTATGAAATCCTTTGCCTCCTCCCTAAATTAGTCTTCCTAATGATGAAACTCATGGTGGGGTCACTGACAAAGTTTAAAAGAAACATTTCAGAACTAAAAGGGGCCTCAGAAATTACCTAATCCACCGGCCTACTTAGATGCAGTTAAGAGAATTGCCCAGGGTCATAGAGGCAGTCAGAAAACCAGCTCTCTAACATTTAGTCTACTGCTGCAACACCAGAAGTTAGGTACCCTGCTGGTTTGTAGTGGTCTATATGTGCTATCAATTAGTATGCTGTTCTTCACTTCTTACAGCCAAGCACAGAGCCAGTGAGATGTAAGAATTTATTTCATTTAGTAAAATGAAAGATTCTGCAAGGTAAGATAGTATCCTAGAGGTAGAATGCTCTCTTGCCTTTTAAACTACCAATATGGCGGGGCATGGTGGCTCACAGCTGTAATCCCAGCAATTTGGAAAGCCGAGGCAGGAGGATTGCTTGAGGCCAAGAGTTGGAGGCTGCATTGAGTCATGATCTTACCACTGCACTCCAGCTTGGGTGACACAGCAAGACCTTATCTCAAAAGGAAAAATACAAAGCAAACAAAATAACACATACATACACAAAAAATTCCAATATACTTACATTGGGTATTTAGGAACTTTTACAATGTAATTTTATGAGATTTTCATTTGAATGGAAATATGACACCTAAAAATGAGAAAATTAATATGGTGGAGTAGAGATCAGGTTCTCTACATCCAGAAGCCTGCATGATAGGTCACAGGTAGCACCAAGATATTTTCTTTCTGCTTGCTTCTGATTGGGCAGCCATGTTATCACATCCCATGCTTGAGAAATCTCTAGATTGTAAGTGATCTGTATTGTCTGGTTTTGGGGTTTGGGGTCTCCCCCCTCATTCGGATCTGTGTTTCTTGCAGGAGAGGGATAATGGTATCATAGATACTGAAAGTGGCCAGCATGGAACAGGCTCAGGAATCAGTGTTGGCTGTGGATCTCCCTAAGCAGGTTTCTCTGTCCTATGAGTAGCTTGCTCCTGTCAGTGCTGGGATCTTTATATTTGTTTTGTGCTGACCCTGGTCAATCAAAAAATTGATCCAATATCCTGATTCCCCTTGGCATTGCTTCAGCCCATCAGAGCTTCTAACGTTTTTCTTTTTCTAAATTGCTGTGGGCAGGGCTTGGTTTTAACAAAACTATAATGTTGGACAACTTGGTCCTCACCTGTATCTCCCCCTTCTGTCTTCTTTCTCATGTCTGTCTTCCCCTGTCACATCTCTGCAGGAATGAGGTCTCCACTGAGATGTAAGTTCATGTCAGTGGACAAAGCATCATTTGTGCATTCAATTTGCATCCAACAAGTATTTGTTGAGCACTGTTCAAGACATTAGCTATTTGTCTAACAAATTCATAATTTCTATTTTAGGCTCATATTCCCTTATACAATTTCCACAATTTTTGCCAAGTTGTCTAAAAAATGACCAACTTTGTATTTTTAATTGAAACTAATTTACTGTTTACTTAAATTAATTAATATCAAAAGAAGAAGATAAACTAAGCACTGGCTGTTAACTCTGCCTTCCACATCAAACCTAGGAAATGCTAGAAAATATATAGCTTGGGTGAATGTGGAGTTTATCCTAACAAATGGTACAAAACTGTGAAAATACCTTAGGAGGCTTAAAGTCTCTGCATGTCTTTTTAGGTGGAGGAAACAGCAACCTGGAGCAACCGACAGGGAGAGGGTTGGAGTGGAAGTTCCTAGGCACACTATTATGATTTGGCTGTGAATCCACCCAAATCTCAAATTGTAGCTCCCATAATTCCCATATGTCATAGGAGGGACACAGTAGGAGGTAATTGAATTATGGGGCCGGTATTTCCCATGCTGTTCTCATGATAGTGAATAAGTCTCATGAGACGTGATGGTTTTGTAAAGGGGAATTCCTCTGCACATGCTCTCTCTCTTGCCTGCCGCCATGTAAGATGTGCCTTTGCTTCTCATTTGCCTTCTGCCATTATTATGAAGCCTCCTCAGCCATGTGGAACTGTGAGTCCCTTAAACCTCTTTCTCTTACAATTTACCCAGTCTCAGGTATGTTTTTATTAGCAGCATGAACAGACTAATACACACACCCTCACCTCCTTCTCTCAAGTTTTTCTAAGCAGACCAGGCTAGAATACATGACCTGAGTGTAACTCCAGTACAGTAGTGTAAAATTTGGCTGGCACTCACCAGAACTTGAACCTCCCAGGTCCCTAAAAAGAAAGAGATTAAAATAAACAACTACACACTGCCTTGAAGACCTACTCTGGATTATTAGATTGGCCCCACCTGTAGTATGATTAGGAAGGCTGTAATAAAAGCTAGACATAAACAAGTCTCATCAAATCCAGCCAGAGCCCTGCGGGAATAGATAGCTGACTATTATGTTTATTCACTTATCAGATATTTACAGAATGGTTGCTCGATAGCCAGGCATTGTTCTGAGTGCTGAAGATAGTAGTAAACAACACAAAGTTCCAACCCACAGGAGAAGCTAAGGCAGAAAATAACCAATAAATATGTAGTAATTGGATAACTTCCCATGAGTGTTGTTCCCCATATTCTCCCCATATTCAAAAGAGAGCCTGGTATGATAGGATAACTGATATCCCAGGCATCAGCATATGACCAGAAAAAAGTGGAGGTGGCAAAGCAGATTATACCAATAGGCAATACACCTAGAGATACAGCTCCCCTTCCTCAAAATCACAGATATAAGAAGCCTAGGGTTAGACTTCACACTTCCCAGATTAGAGGTGATAATTTAAGGGGGCTAACTCTGGAAAAGGAATACTGATAAGGTAACAGTACACTTATTTTAAGTCACAAAATATTTAATGAGTGTGACAACAATACAAGACAACAACAACAACAAATATACTAGCGAAAGCAGAGCTAACAGAGCAGAAAGAACAGAGACTTTGAATAAGCATAACATATCCTTGGGGAAACATATTGCAAATGTGAACAAAGAACAGATATGTATAAAAAGAAAACCAGTTGGAGATATTGGATGGGGAAAAATATAATTATTTAAATAAAGAATTCAACAGAGAAATGAAATAACAGAATAAATGCAAAGAGTTCATTTATGGGCTGGAAAATCATGGAGATTTTCCCAACTAAGGAGATGTCATAAATAGGCAGAATTTTTTTTTAATGTAAGATGTATAGGAAATCAAATTAGAATGAACACTTTCGTCTTACAGGAATCCTAGAAGGAAATATTTAAAAGACAGTGTAAGGGCCAGACGTGGTGGCTCACGCCTGTAATCCCAGCACTTTGGGAGGCCAAGGCAGGTGGATCATGAGGTCAGGAGATTGAGACCATCCTGGCCAACACCCTGGCCCATCTCTACTGAAAATACAAAAATTAGCTGGGCGTGGTGGCGCGTGCCTATAGTCTCAGCTACTCGGGAGGCTGAGCCAAGAGAATCACTTGAACCCAGGAGGTGGAGGTTGCAGTGAGCTGAGATAGTGCCACTGCACTCTAGCCTGGTGACAGAGGGAGATTCCATCTCAAAAGAAAAGAAAAAAAAAGAAAAAAAAAAGACAGTCTAGGAAGATAATCTTTGAAGAAATAGTGGATATTTTCCAGAACTAAAGAAAGCACATGACCTTAGATTGGAAATAGCTTCAGAGTGTAAAGCAGCTCACAATAAACAAACAAATAAATAAAAACACAAATCCAGACACACCAGAGTAAAATTTAACAATAAAGATCTTCCACAAAGAAAAAGCAAATAAAAGCCATTTCCCACAGTTGTGAGAAATGATATCAAATTTCTTGAAACAGCAAGACAATGAGGTCATGCATTGTTGAGGGGCAGCAGAAGGAACTGATTCTAGATAACTCAAAAAATATCTCATTTAAATCATACAGTGAAATAATTTTTTTTTACCTGAACACCCATAGACCTCATCTGAATTATTTTTTTAGAGTACATTCTTTAAAGAGAATATAAATTAGGCCACAAGGAGGCAATAATTATGGAAAACAGGAATAAATAAGGGCACTAGTAAAGATTATTTGTTTAAATAAACAATGATTAAAAGGAAATATATATCCACAACACTTAATCTACAACTTAATGTTACATCAACACTGGTATGATGAATTGTAGTAGAGACCAAAGAGAAATAAAAGCCAAGGTTCTTAACATGTAAGAGAGGGAGACATAGGTATTAAATAAATTGAGACATTGCCCAGAAAAAGAAAATTATATGCTTTAATAAATGAATTATAGCCATCAGAGAAATGCAATGAAATACATAATTTTATACAAGCAATGGAAATAAAAGGAAAAGAGAGAGAGGAAGGAGGGAAGGAAAGAAAGAAAGAAGGAAGATTGATCCTATCTGTAAGAGTTATACTTAGAAACAAACCAAAAAGGTAGTGGAAATAAATCCTAGTTTATTTTTATTATAATAAATAAAATGCATTAAAGTCACAGATTTTTAAAAGCAGACTCATAAGATTTAAAAATCTAGCTTTTTTTTAACTCTAAAGATAGAGAAAGGTTGAACATAAAGAGATGGAGAAAGAACTAGGAAGAAAATAAAGCTGGGATAATTATACTTTTACTATCAAACAAAATCAAATAAAAAGCATACAAACAGATGTATATGTATGTGTACATATGTGTCAGAAATGTCATAGAACAGAACTTAGTACATTGTATGTACTATAGAAGAGCTGGTTGTAATTATCATTAATTTTTTAATATTAAAAGACAAATTATTAGACACATTTCTTAGGTGTATAACAGTCTACTGGATGATTTCAAATGATTTATTTAAACATTCTGCTATCAAGGAGGTGAAGCAAAACTCCCTACCTTTATGTATGGCCCACTCATGATGATTTTTTCCAGAGTAAAGGATGGAAAATATGAAAAAATTGTAACTTTACAGTGGAGAATCCTGACAAACATTCTCAACCAGATCTGATCCAGATTCCTATTAAAAGACGAAAATAGCACTCTACCCTTGTGATCTTTTTCCTCCAAATCCATGATCCCAGTCCAATCATGAGAAAAACATCAAACAACTCCCAGTTGAGGAACATTCTATAAAATCCCTGATTAGTACTTTCAAAACTGTCAGGGTAATCAAAAATAATGAAAGTCTGAGAAACAGTCAAGCCAAGAGGAACCTGAGGGAACATGATGGCTAAATGTATGTGGTATTCTGGAGAGAATTCTGGTACAGAAAAAGGGACATTAGGTTAATTAAAAAAAAGGAAATTTGAATAATGTATACACTTTAGTTAATAATGTGTCAATATTAGTTGGTTAATTGTAACAAATGTACCATAGCAGTTTAAGATGTTAACAATAGGGATACTGGTTGTGGGGTGTATTGGAATTCTCTGTATTATCTTCATAATGTTTCTATAAATCTAAACTATTCCTAATTTTTAAGTTTATTTTTTAAATACTAGTTAACAGATTTTTAAAAAAAGAGTCATAGCTCTAAATGTATGAGCTGAATCTATAAAACTCAGAAGAAAACATATGAGTAAATCTTCATGACCTTGGATTACACAATGATTTCTAGATGCAATGTCAAAAGTGCTAGTCACAAAAGAAAACAAAAATGGATTAACCACACCACAATTAAAGCTTGTATTACAATCAATGCATCAAGAAAGTGAAAATACAACTTACAGAATGGGAGAAAATATTGTCAAATTTTACACCTGATAAGAGAATTACCTCCAGAATATATAAAGAACTTCTATAATTCAATAATAAAAAGATAAATAGCCCAATCAAAAAGTAGGCCAAGGATCTGATTAGACATTCCTTTAAAGAAGATATACAAATGTCCAACGTTTGCGTCATTAGTCATTAGGAAAACACTTATCAGAACCAGAATGTGATAACTCTTCACACCCACTGGGTGGCTAAAATCAAATGTTCTCTAGGATGGGGAGAAATGAAAAAGAAAGTCTGTATATTGTTGATGGGATTGTAAATGATACAGCTGCTTTGAAAACCAGCCTGGCAGTTCCTCAGAAGGTTAAACATGGAGTTACTATATGATCCAGCTATTCTATTCTTAGATGTATGCTCAAGAAAATGAAAACACATGTTCACACAAAAATGTGGACACAGGCCGGAAGCAGTGGCTCACGCCTGTAATCCCAGCAATTTGGGAGCCCGAGGTGGGCAGATCACCTGAGGTCAGGAGTTCGAGACCAGCCTGGCCAACATGGTGAAACCCTGTCTCTACTAAAAATACAAAATTTAGCAAGGCATTGTGGTGTGCACCTGTAATCCTAGCTACTGGGGAGGCTGAGGCAGGAGAATCGCTTGAACCTGGGAGGCAGCGATTGCAGTGGGCAAGATCATGCCACTGCACTCCAGCCTGGATGACTGAGCAAGACTCTGTTAAAAAAAAAAAAAAGTACACAAATGTTTCTAGCAGTATTATTCATGAGACCTAAAATACAGAAATAACCCAAATGTCCACCAGCTGATGAATGGATAAACAAAATGTGGCCACTACATAGAATGGAATATTGTTTGGCAATAAAAAATGAAACACTGATTCATGCTACAACATGGATGAACTTTGAAAACATTATCCTAAGTGGAATAAGCTACACACAAAAGACCTCATATTGCATAATTCCATTTATATGAGTTGTCAAGAACTGGCAAATCCACAGATACTGAAAGCAGAGTAGTGGCGGCCAAAGGCTAGAATTAAGAGGGATTGGGAAGTTGCTGTTAAGGGGTATGAGTTGCTTTCTGGGGTAAAGAAAATATTCTAAATTAAAGAGTGCTGAGGTTTATACAACTCTGTGGATAAATTAAAAACCACAGAACTGTATACTTTAAGGCATAAAAAGGTATGTAATTATATCTCCATCAAACCATTATTTATTTAATTTTTTAGAGGAAGCGTTTAGAAAATTGAAGACCACACACATCATGTTTAATTGAGTAAACAGAGAGCACATTTCTTCTTTGGCCCGCATTAACCATTCTTCAAAACGAATTATGTATCAGGCTACAAAGGAATTTCAAGAAACTCAAAGAATCGACACCACACACGTTACGGTCTTTGACATAATGACACAAAATTAGAAATTAATAACAATAGAATACATGAACATTTCCGTGCTTCTAAATGTCCCATGGGTTGAAGAGAAAATCAAAAGTAGAATTGTAAACTATTACAGCTAAACAAAATAAAAGCTGTGTATTTTGAAATGTATGATATGCTCCTAGAGGGTACCAAGAAGAAAATACATATACAGCTTTGACCATAATTATCAGAAAACAAGAAAGGCTGGACATACATGAGGTAAATGTCCAGCTCATTACTCCAGGAAAATAGAAATAGGCCACATTTAAAAATGCAAATAGAAATAAAATAGCATAAATCAGCCAGAAATCAATGAAGTAGACAACAGAAATACAAGATAATTAAAAAGAAGTTTATTCTTTAACAAAACAAAGAAATAAACTTGTGGCTAAGCAGATCAAGATGAAAAGAAAAATATATAATAGGCAAATTAAAAAATGTGAAAATCTGTATGTAAAATATAGCAAGTTGCATAAAGACACAAAATATAGTGAACAATTATATGTTAACAGATTTGAAAATCTAATTAAAGACATACATTTATAGCAAAACACAACTTGTCGAAATTAGCATAAGAAGATAAAACATGAAAGAACAATGACCGTTAAAAAAATTGAAATGGTAATAAAGAATAAATGCACCCCTGACATACACACACTTCCTCCTCATCCATCAGACATTTTCTGGCTCAATTTTTGGCTACTAGCTCTTCCCCTCCAGCCCACTTGCAGATTCCTGCTTGACTGCTCTTTTTAAATAGCAAACGTGATGGTGTCCCGCCTGCTTGTAGCTCTGAACTGACTTCTCGTAGATTAATGGAAAAGTTCACAATATTTGATTTGCTGTTTGCCCCAATTGTTTTGAGCTATAGTTCTCAAATAGATCATGCTTTTCCACCTTTCTATGCCTTTTCCCATACTTTTCCTTTTCCCTGAAATACCTGTTTCAACCTTCCCATCATCTCTCAAATTATTTCTTATCCCTTAGAACTCCTGTAATATACAACCCACCCCCAGTCTGATTGAGCTTCTCTCATTTTGCATTCTTGATGCAATCTACATGTAAGTAACTAGCATTTGCTCTCATAAATGTAAAACCAGCATCACTTGACATAAAGGGAAGGTAGGTGAAAAACTAAATATTTTTAACATTATATTTTAAATGGGTACTGTGGCTTGCTGTTGACTTTCCACTTGCTGTCTGTTCTCAGTTATTAAAAAATATATTACCACAAGTGAGAGTGGTAAAAACTAGCACTAAACAGAGATTTTTCTCTTTGATGTTACAGGAGGATAGAGAGAGAGAGTGAAAATTATAAACGGAATAATTTCCTGAATTTCACCGGAAATCATTTTATGTCCTATACATAGAAGCACAGAGATTTACCTAAGATATGGCTTCAGCCTCCAGAGAGTTCATGCAAAATGCCACTTTTGCTATGACATTCTTGTGTGGGACACTTCAGGACAAAACAAAACAAACAAAACAATGATATGAACCCACTCCCCCCAAAAAAATCCATCTGCAATGGGAATATTTCAGCCTAGAAGGAACTAATTGAGGGAGAGAAAGTAGAACTTTGTGGTTCCCTTTAATTTATACCCTGTAAACATGTAGTGGGATGCCTGCTCTTGAGTTTGGCAATGGCTGTTAATTCATGATCATGAATAGTAAAGCACTCTCTAAAGGCACCATGTGGGAATGAACTTGCTATAGCAAGTTTAATCCTGAACAGAGATGAAAGAGGCTGATCTACCGAGGCAGGCATTGTCCTCATTTTCCTTCAGGACTTCATGCAAGTCTCTCTCAGGTTAAATACTTGCTGATTATGCTACCATGTCCAAAAATGGGGCTGTATCATTCTTTCATAGAAGAGAGATATAACTTAAACATAAGCATGCAATACTTTTGAGATTCCCACATTTTTTTGATGGTAAAATTAGATTTAAAGACATTGTTGAAATGCACATGATTTTCAGTTCAAAGCCCCTCCCAATGTTGTCATTTTTCAGGCATGATTATTCCCATTTTCAGTTATGGCAACTTCTTGTGGAATGTCAGTTTTATAGAAATACCATACGTTAATGAAATATAAATTTTTGGCAAAATAGTTCCTTGCAATTAAATATCTCTTTAAAAGGAAATTTACTGAAACCTTTATTTCTAAACCACCAAGGAATGAATGTAAGTAAGCAAACATTAAATCAGAGTGCCTGTCATGACAAATTAAAAAATCTCAAAGTTAAAATAACCACAGAAGTAATCAACATGATATGGAAGAAAGAGAAGGTGAATGACAATTGTAGAATAATTTCCACGGCCATATCCTTTATAAGCAGGATGAGGAAACAGAAGCCCAAAAAAAGTATTTAATGTCCAAGGTCAAGCAGATATATGTGGCAGAGCAGAATACAGGGTGCAGATTTGCCTGTCTCCAATTACGTTTTCCAGTGCCACTGCTAATTTCACCCAGGATGGTAACTTCTACTTTGGAATACAGTTCCTGTTCTCCCACTCACAAGCTGCATGGCCTTTGGATAAGTTTCCCACATATATTTTACAAAATTCAGGTTTATTCAAGTATAATTTATAAAGAATTTAAAATATGATTCACTTATTCTAAGTTCAATGAATTCTGACAAATGCATTCAGTCTTGTAATCACCACCACAAATCAGGTTATAGAATATTTCCACCTTTGCAAAGTGTTCACCCATGCTACTTCAGTCATGACAAGAGAGTGGAATCCTATTCTTTCCTGCTATATATGCTATATACAAGTATTAATCCTGTAAATAGCCCAAGAAACAAATAAAGGGTGGTTAAAAAAAAAGAAAGTGGTTTGGGACCTCAGGTCCACAGAAAGAACACAACCCTGGGGATCCTGCCTTCCCTCACCCAATGGAGCAAGGCTACCCAGACCCAGTGTTTTCCAACCCACAACCTAGCTAAAAAAATGCAGCTCAGGTAGGCATATGTCTCCCCAGATTGAACAAAGTCCACCTGACAGCATCAGAGGATAAGTAGAGAGAAAAAGAGAGGGAGGGGGAGAGAAAAGGAGGGAGAGAGAGAGAGAAGGAGATAGAAAGAGAGAGAGAGGGAGAGATATGTGATCACAGCAAGGAGCCCAAAATGGGAAGCCATTTGTCTCCATGGGTCAGAGACTCTACTCTTCCACCCCGAGGCAATGGAACAAGCAAGTGAAATGGAAAAAAGGGACTCCATCCCATCAAACAGCTAATCTGAGATGTCCTTTTCTCTTCATGGGTCCAAGGCTCTCCTAACCTGCTCAAATAATGGGCAGGTGATCAGAAACAAAAAGAGAGCCCTAGTCACAGCAAGCAGCACCAACAGGAAGCCTCTCTTCCCTAGGGAGCTGAGGCTCTTTCTCTTTTCAGTAGATATCAGCAGAAGTATACAAGGGAACCAGCAATAGCTAGTGGCCTGGTCTGGAAGCCTTCTTTGTCCCCATGCACAAGACTCTGCTCCTCTTTTCAATGATACTACAGCAGCTACAGGGGCAGTGGTAAAGAGATCCCACCATACCCATCTCCCACCAAGAGATACCTGGAGGCCTTACCTAGGGAAATCTATTTTACCCCCTCAGGCAGTGCCAGCAATAACCAGTGAGACCTACTGTCGACACCAGATAGGCCAACAAGAACAAACTAATACTGCAAAGACTATGAACATTAAACTGCCATTGGAATCATTGCCCTCAAGAGTAGGACAAGACTTATATGCTCAAATTCAATATGGTTACTGTCTGCCAAAATAAAATATTTAAATGGGACCCAAGCTTTCCTAACATAATAGACAAAATGTCTAGGATGCAATAAATAATCACCAGTCCTACCAAGAACCAGGAATATGACAATGTAAATTTAAAAAGATAATTAACTGATACTAAAACCAAGGTGAATCAGATGGTGGAAGCTTAAAAGGATGTTAAAGTAGCTGTAATAAGAAAACTTTAATAATTAATTATAAATTTTCTTGAAATGAAAAATAGGAAATCTCAGTAAAATAAAAATGAAGTTATAAAAAATGGAAATGATAGAGCTGAGAAAATACAATAACAGAAATTATTACAGAAAACCCATGGATGGGATCAGCAGTAGAGGAGATGACAGAGGATCAAATTGTTGAACTTGAGGACAAATGAACAGAGACTCAGTGGCCTATGTGACAATTGCATAAAATCCAACATTCATATTATTGGAGTCCCAAGAGAGGAGAAAGAGTGGCACTGAGGGAATAGTTAAAGAAATAATATCTGAAAACTTATATTTGGTGAAATACACAAACCTATAGATCTAATAATCTGATGAAATCAGAGTAAGTCCAAAAAAATCCACACCAAGTCAATTCTACCCCCACCTCATCCTCACACCTGTCTAAGGTCTTTTAGAATAAAGAGTGATTACTAATAGATTAAAATGGTGGCTAGAGACCTAGCGCTTGTTAGAAAAACTCAAACATGGTGTTTTTCTTTGCATAATGTTGAAAGCTTTGTACCACTTGCCTCCAGATAAACTTCCTAGCCTCATGAATAGCTACTCCACTCAACTATGTCTATACCAGGTTTCCTTTCCTCTTACCTTCTTGCTGTTTTCTAAACTTCTCAAGTGATTTAATGCTTTGATGCATCAGTGTGTTTTATTGTTATGCTGTTCCCTTTTTTTTGAACATACTTCCTCACTTTCTACCTTATGGATCTCCACTTTATCTTTCAAAATTCAAATCAAGTCAACTTTTAATATTTCTCTGTATCGTTGCCCAATGCTGTGAAACAGTTTTTTCTTTGCTTTGTTGTGAACTCACTTTCTGTGGGACTGTATTAAATAATTAGCAATTAGCCAGTTGTGGTATAGACATCTGCTTTGGAAGGAATGCTCTTTTGCTTGAGTATGAGTAGTTTCTCAAGAAATAAGAACTGTGTCTTATTTTTCTTTGCATTTCCTAAGACCTAATAATAACATTTGTTGAACTGAATTTACCAAATGTGGATTTAATTGTTTTGCAATATCCAGAGATATTCTTTGAAATCTCAAACATACAATTATTTTCTTTATCACTTTAACACTTTATCAGTGTTGCAGGTTGTATGCTCTGGAAGCAGATACTGAGAAGGAGTGTGCTGTGTGAAGTGTTTATTAGATCAATAACTTTGGAAGGAAGAGGGATGTGGAGCTGTGATGTAGTCCTAATAGAATCTTAGCTAGTCTCGTAGGGTTGCTTTCCAGAGCTTTCTCATGTTGGGTCAAAGACCCATTTTGGGTTGCTGGGTCTTTACACCCTCATCTCAGTCAGCATTTGGATGTGGGCTGTTTCCAGAGGGCATGACTTTGGATGAGGCAACTCTCCAAAGTAATTCATATAGCTGTTGACAGCTGGAAGCTGTCTGCTATCGGTTAGGGTGACAATCTTACCTTGAAGGAAAGAAGGATCTGGGTGGCACATCTTCAGGTCTACCAAGCTAATATTTATTTTGTACCATGTACCAGAATACTGCAGAAAGATTTTATGTACGTTATCTTACTAATTTTCAACTTCTCTTTACAAAGAAGATATTATTATTATTCCCATTGTACAGGTAGGACAGCAGCCTAAGAGGAGGTAATTGGCCTCTCCGCAGTCATGCAATGAGTATGTGGTAAAGCTTAGATTTTTAACCCAGGCAGTCTTACTCCAAAGCTAAATACCATTTAACCACAATGGTATCCTGTGAGAGCTACATTGTTCATGACTACAACTCCTTGAAACTTGATAATCCACAAGCAGTGAAGAGTTTTCTATTAAAATAGAAAAAGAATGTCAACTTGCCTTTTATTCTAAACATATGTGGACATATTTTATTAAGCAGATACTTTTTGTTTGTTTGTTTCAGCCGGTGTGGTGTATTCTGATATGAGGAGAATTTCTCTTTTGGTCTTGGACATATTCCTTAGACTGACATGTCACTGGGCCAATATTTGAGGTGAGTCTTGAACTAGCCTTACCCGCCTACCGTGTTTGTGTTAATGGAACATGCTGATTGAAGTACTGAGAAGCTGTAGGAAGCCAGAGTGTTCCCATCAGCATTTGTAGGCTGTCCAATTTATAACCTTCTAGGGACTAAGATGAAAGTACAGTGGTCACAATGTTGCTCTCAGCCAAAGAGCTTTTCAAGATCATAATTCACCTTTAGATTTCCATGCACCTGTAGGTAACTGTGTCAATTAGCACTGATGAATTCAGTAGTGGACCTCATTTTCCCTCGGTTATCTTTTAACAGATTTATATTAAATAATCAAATAAACATTGAACAGGTGTGATTAAAAAAAATCCTTTGCCTTCCCAATCTTACGTGTTTATGGACATGGTAATACTATATATTTTTTATTTTAGAGATTTTCAGTTTTTCTATGCCTTATCTTTTCTCATGGATAGCTGGAATAAAATAAAGATAGACTGTTCCAGTTATTATTAGAGGTGATAATTTGCAGGCTAAGTGTGTTGCTATGGATACCTAAGAACCCCCCCCGCCACCAAAGACTCAGGCCTGGGAGTCAGGGCCTAATCCTGAGGTGTTTTTCAATAGCACCAGCTGTCCGGAGCCTGAAAGGCGTGGCAAATTACACCATTATTAGAGTGAAATGGTATGGCTAAGCTAATTATTTGTGGGCTTTAGACACAGGTGTTCATAAAAGGCTGAACGTGCACTCCTAATCAAGTCTGATTGGGCTAGAACAGCAGCCCAGCATGGGACTATCAAAGAGTTGTTTATAGTGTCTTTCATTTAAATAATAAAAGAGGCCACTGTAGGCCTTCTGTTCAGCAGAGTTTTTAATGTTGCTCTGAGTTCCTCATTACAGGTAATCATATTTGGTATCTCCGTTTGACTTCATCCAGTCATGGAAATCTGTTTTCTAATAATATTTTCCTTGATAGTCATATAACAATTTTAGACACATTAGCCATTCCATGACTATTTTTGGTTAATGCTACTTTTAGCAATGCAACGTAACTTTACAGAATGGAAGATTAGAACTTCATCACAAAAATGATAATCTGGCTACTACTCATCAAAGAGTTGTTAATATTTCCATTTTATTACCGGTGATATTTCTTTGATAATTTTTGTGCTCATAATGCAGTAGCAAGTTTGGTTCAAAATATACCTTAAAATTTTTCTCTCATTTAATAGTATTTGATTTATCTAATATTTGAATATCATCAGTTGCTAAAATGTATGTTTGCTGAGAAATGTTATGTGGGTTTGTTATGGTGTGATATTGTACTAAGCATGGTTAAATACTCTTCCTAGCAAAGCAAATCTGAATTTTTCAATCTTTGCTTCTTTAAAAATAATGAATACTTTTTTTGATGTCCATACTTTATAAAGAAGTTTGCATTTAATAGTTACCAAACAACCATTAAACATCTAATATTTCATTTTCAAATAATAATGATGTAGTAGATTCATTACTCCAACAATTTACAAGGAATTGACTTGTCTATTTTAGTTTTCCAAGTCTAATCCAGCCCATGAGTATTTTAGAAGTTGATATGATTGGTATTGCTATATAATAATGTTGAAATACCTGGTAGGTATTTTACTTTTTTAAAAATTCTACATCGTCACAAATGCTTGTAAATTTATAAAATGTGAAAACATATTTCTTTAGAGAAGTAGCCTCTGCTACTGCTATTGGATGAAGATATACTTACCCACTCTCTGTAGGGAGAGAGTGGTCTATTAAGAGAGACAGATGACCTCATAAACGTGTCTATGTGCAGATCAATATGATGGCCTAATATGAGTGTAGATACACTCTCGGATGATTGAGGGAACTGAGTTTTGTCTCTGAGTCCATTCAGTCAAGGTATTCTTTCTCTTTGCAATTCTTCTGGGTATGGGAGAAGGTAGTTCTCAGAAAATAATTGTGAGGTTTTTAAGGACAGTAATTAGTGGCTTTTATCTTACGCAAAGGTATAAGACTTTCTAAATTATAGGTAGAAAGCAAATATGTTGCCTTCCTACCCAGATCTGTAAGTATTGTGCACAGAAAAGAGGATCCTCTGAGGTGACCTTGGCAATGGATACCTTGAAGCTGCATTAGTTGGGTGAATTAGCATTCAGTTAAATTTCAACAATTATCTACTGAACACCTACTGTGCTTGCAGTTCTGCCAGAGAAAGGACTGGAATTAGACAAAGGTAGGTAGCCACCAATACTAGTGCTCTTTCCTTTTCTTCTAATAAAATATATTTTTGGCTGGGCATGGTGGCTCACACCTGTAATCCCAACACTTTGGGAGGCTGAGGTTGGTGGATCACCTGAGGTCAGGAGTTCAAGACCAGCCTGGCCAACATGGTGAAACCCCATCTCTAGTAAAAATTCAAAAACAAAACAAAACAAAACAAAAAAAATATGATCCAGGCATGGTGGCAGGTGTGTGTAATCCCAGCTACTCTGGAGGCTGAGGCAGGAGAATTACTTGAACCCAGGAGGTGGAGGTTGCAATGAGTCAAGACTGTGTCATTGCACTCCAGCCTGGACGACAAGAGCAAAACTCTGTCTCAAAAAATTAAAAAAAATATATATGTTATAAATAGATCTTTATAACGTATATATTTTTAACATATATATATATTTTTTTTCTGCTGTCATCTCTCATAACCCAGAGATGTAACTAGCCAATCATTTATGGGGAACTTAACTATATCTTGCCTTTTGTGATTCTGTGGTGGTGAAAAATGCCTGCTCATTTACTGTGAAAGTAACATCTCTGGTGAAGGGAAATTCTAGATCTCTGATGATGATAGTGAGTTATCTGAGTATTGGTTAAAATTGGATAGGATATGCTGTGGTAGCAAACACTCTGAACTCTCAGGAGCTAAACATGGCCAAAGTTTATTTCTGCTTATGTTACATGTTATTTAAGGTAAGCAGGTGATTCTGCTCACTTTAGTCATAAGGGGCCCATGCTGATAGATACTGCATTTTGACTCCTACTTCTATAATCTTTACAATAGAGGGAAAGTAAATCATGGCTCTTAAAGTTTATGTCCTACTGACACAACTAACTTCTGCTCACATTTTATTAGCCCAGCACATCATATGGCCAAGCTTAAATCCAAAGGGCAGGATCAAGAAAGCAGACAGCAGAGAAAATAGTTACTGAGCAGAAATAATGACGACTATGGCACCCTCTAAATCACTTTTTTTTTTTCTTTCTTTCTGAGGCCGAGTCTCACTCTGTCACCCAGGCTGGAGTGCAGTGGCTCTATCTCGGCTCACTTAAAACTTCACCTCCCAGGTTCAAGTAATTCTCTTGCCTCAACCTCCTGAGTAGCTAAGACTATAGGTTCCCACCACCATGCCCAGCTAATTTATGTATTTTTAGTAGAGATAGGGTTTCACCATGTTGGCCAGGCTGGTCAAGAGTATAAAGAAACCTCAAGTGATCCGCCTGTCTCAGCCTCCCAAAGTGCTGGGCTTACAGGCATGAGCCACTGCCCTGAATCACTTGTTGTAAGTGAACTCTTTACAACTAAACTGGCTCAAGGACTAGTTACCTAACTGGTACCTAATTAAAATGGAAACACATGTAAGTGATATAGGAGAAGAGATTGTATCAAGATATCAGATGTGTATCTACCCTTTCTTCCTTTTTGAAATCTCTCAGAATGATAGAAATATAGAAAAATAATACTATATATGGAACAGGGGGAAAGATTCCCAAGAAAATTCTTAACATAAATATCTATATTGGAAACAAATGGTTTAAAATTAAATGAGTTAAACTTTCAACTAAAGAAATAAACAAATATGAAATACACAAAGAGCCCGAAGGAAAATAATTAGTGAATGTGTTTAAATTAGTAATAATGAAATAGAAAATATTAAATCAGTAAATTTGATCTGTTTAAAAAATCTGGCTCATTTAATCATCAATAAATAGAAAAACTATTGGTAAATCTGATCATGTTAAAAAGGAACACAAAACAGGCAATATTAGATAAGAGAATAAGTATACACAGTCATAAATACAGATATCAAGCAAATTTAAAGCTATTAGAGAATAATATGCACAGCTCCATGCCTAAAAAATATTATCTACTTAAATTAATCTTGAAAAGGTAGAAATACTAATGGGATAAACAACTTTGGGAAAAAATGGAAAAACTGTCAAAACCACCTAAAAAAAGTCACGAAGTCAAATTAATTTTGTGGATAAGTTCTACCAAATTTCCTTGAGAAAAATACCTTTGTTCTCTGTACTATTTCAGAGCATAGAAAATGACTTAAAGCTACTAATTTTCCACAAGCCAGATGAGGAGAGTGTATATTCACAGAGAGAAAAGAAACCTAAAACCAAATCTCATGTATTAAAAAATGTGAAACCAGGGACAATGGCTCATGCCTGCAGTCTCAGCCACTCAGGAGGCTGAGATGGGAGGATCACTTGAGCCCCCAAATTGGAAACCAGCCTGGGCAATACAGCAAGACCCTGTCTCAAAAAAAAAAAAGAAAAAAGAAAAAAAATCCAAGAAAACTATTAGCAAATGAATACTGGATTGTATTAAAAGAGAATTACATTGGAATCAATTAGGGCTAAAGTAGAAATGCAAATTTGACTCACATCAAAAATAAAATTGCTCACAAATGGGTTAAACAACAAATCTCAATAACGTCCCAAATTAGAAAATCTGACATGTATGTAGATTTTTTTAAATGACTTAACATTGTAAGAGTATAAAAAAAACTTTTTAAGGCTGATAAAGCAACTACCAACAAAACATAATAGACATACTTAACGATGAAACAGTAATTCGACAAAAGCCATTAAGATGGTAGCAATGTCCACTGTCATTACTGTGAAACATGCTGAACATCTTGATTCAAGTAATAAAATGAGAAAATGAAATGGAATAATATAATGGAGATAGCCAGAAATAAACTATTTGTCTATTTGTCAATCCATCTACTTGATTAGAAAAACAATTTTAACCAAGGGAAAATGATACAAATTGACATTTGACAGGAAAGTAAAACATAAGAAAATTAAGAACAGAGGTGCTATACTAACTGAGGTCCTCCAGAGAAAATAGAATTAATAGGATCTTCTTTTTCTGTCGCTTTAAGGAATTGGCTCACATGATTGTGGAAGCTGGTAAGTCCAAAATCTGCAAAGTACTTTGGCAGGCTAGAGACCCAGAGAAGAACTTATGTGGCAGTTCAAGTCTAAGATAGTCTACTGGCAGAATTCTCTCTTCCTTAGGAAATGTCAGTCTTTTTCCATTAAGGCCTTCATCTGATTAGATGAGGCCCACCTATATATGGAGAGTGAGCATTATTACAATTTTGTGGGGTTTTTTTTCTTCTTAAGAAATTGGAAGAACTTAAAAACTGGAAATTCACTTAAGAATTAAAAAACAAACATACTTAACTTTACCCATAAGCAGAAATATAACAAACGAAACAGCGATTTGTTACTTTATACCCATCAGAGTTGGCTAAATTTACAATTTTGATAATATTCAATGTTGACAATGATGTGAAGTTACTGGCACTCTCATCTACAGCTGGTTGGAGTAGAAATAAAGAATACACTTTGGGAGAGGGTTTTACAATATCTATCATTTAAAGTATGCATACTTTCAGACCTAGCTATATCAAATTCTAAGGATTTAATCTGTACTGCAGAAGAAACTCTTGCCCATTTGTACCAGGACAGTCATTACTTCATCATTTGTAATAAGGAAAAATTGAAAGTGACCTAAACACCCACCAGTAGAAAGAGGTACATATAAAGTTATATGTAATGAAAAAAGCAAATCACAAAAAAGTACACATACTATATGTGTAAAGTAAGAAAGTAGATATGTGCTACAAATATAGATGAATAATATCAAAGTATCCTGGGTTGTTGTTAAAATTTCATGCTTTATCTAGAAAGGGAAAATTGTGATACGTACATGGTGGATCTGTAATACCCTCTTTACCTTCCCGGTCTTCAAATTCATCTTTACCTCCACCAAGTCAAGGCTTACACAGTTATAATTGCCTCATAACATTCCTCCTTGGGAAATTTTTATTGTAACAAGAAGGGATAAGAAAGATATGTGCTCTAGCAGTAGAATTTTAGAAATTAGCATTCAAGTGCAGAGATGAAGGTAGGTGGAGGGTGAAGTAGGACCTTTCTTGATAGCCCTGAGAACATATCCCTGGCAGTAAACACTCCAGTACTTGGAAAGGTTAGTACTGATTGGGGATGAGGAGCACAAGGTCAGAACCCATGGGGAACAGGGAACAGTTAAGAGAGGGTCTTTCTGACTAAGGTAAGCAGTGAAAATTTTAGCTGTTAGACACACACAGAGTAACTAGATAAAAAGTAGTTGAGGGGAGTAATTGTGGAGAATGGTAATTTTTCAGGTCTCATAAGGGCATGAAGATAATAAGAACCTGGGTAAAAACAGCCAACACCTACATAGCAATGACTCTGAGTCAGATGCCAATCTGAGCACTTCATTTGTATTATTTCATTTAATCCTCACAAAAGTCCTTGACAGAAACACTGTTTATATAATCTCCATTTTACAAGTGAAGAAAGGGAAGTAATATCACTTAAATAAGTATGTAACAGAGCAAGGACTTGAACCCAAACATGCTGGCTCCAAAGCATCTGCTCATTTAGCCGCTGATGGAAATGGGAAGTCAGGAAATTTAGATGTGGTGTTAATGGAATCTTTCAATATCTTTGCACTGAGGTTGTATGCTGATGTGTGGAGGTAAAAAAAAAAAAAATACCTCTCAGAGGACAGGGATAGTCACTCGTGATTCCCTCAATATCCTACACCATTTCAGACTTCAGGGCTTTTGCTGATGCTGGTTCTTCCTCCTTGCAAATACCTCCCCCAACCCATTTTTTTTAACCCAATTAGAATATTCTTTTCTGTATGAAGCACTTTTGTTACCCAGTGTAATGCCTACGTGACGTAGATGCATTTCTACCTCACCTTAACTCTGCTTATCTTTAGGATACAGGATGCCTGAGGTCAAAATTTCCCTCTTGTGACCAAACTGGATAAACTCGTGGGATCCAAGATGGTAGCTCAACCTCTGAAAAACTTCTAACTTCATTATAATCTGATTTCCATGATAAATGACACTCCCACCAGCACCATGACAGTTGACAATCACCATGACAATGACCAGAAGAAACCATAAAATGACCAAAAGGAAAGCTGCACTCCAGTTTCAAGGAGTTCTCTGCCCATTACCAGAACAGACATGAATTCCTCCCTTTGTTTTTTTATGCCCAACCCCTTCATTAAAAGCCCTGTATTTGTGACTTCCTGCTCTCACAAGCTGAGAAGTTGATTGGTGAGCCAAGCTCTTGCTTCCCAATTCCATGGCTATTGATTAAAGCCTATACTGCTTGACACTTCAGTTTTGCATACTGTCTTCATGGCACCAAACAGGGAAAGACCTCATTTTGAGTAACCTGCTTTAGCAGTAATGCTTTCTTACTTTGCCTCTTCCTTTACAATTATCCAAGCCCCATTGTATTTCCAGCATACTTCCAGCCTGTGATTGTCAAACAGTGCATTAATTCATTGCTGAGCGTATCTTCCCACTGGGCTCCAATAGCTGAGCTCCTTGATGGCAGGCGGCTATACTGGTGAATTAATCAGGCTCTTTCCCATGGTGAGAAGCAGAACCATACTATGCCTGGCTCAGATAATGGGGCTAATTACAAGAATACACAGAGCAGTAAGAAGATAGAAAATACTCCCAGAAGCTTCCTATTGGCCATTTTACACTGGGCCAGTCCCTCCTCCCTGATGATGGTGCTTTACCAGTCTGATGTTTCAACTTCTGTCTCTCTCTTCTACTACAGCTGATTTTTCTGATACTGACTCCCATTTTTAAATGCATATCATATGCAATTTTCCCAAGAGATTTAAATCAGTCACCACTCAGAACAATGAGCCATTGTTGACTATCATTCATGTACAATAACACCTCAGAGATCACTGGCCAGAGATCAGCTAGTCATATTTTTGTCAGGCACTGATTCCTATACAATCTGTGATGACTGAAGAAATGCAGTCATGTAATACCATACCATGGTGACTCATGGGTAATAGATCATCTGGATGAGTTCCACCAGAGGATGGCTTAGCTATGGAAGGCATTAAGATCACCATGTCCTATGCAATTATAAAGCTATTTGTATGTTCATAGAATCTAACATAGTCCCTCTCAAACACCAGATACTAGATATACATTGGTTTAGTGTGAAAGAAAATGTTCTGAAATGACAAAAGAAATATCAAAGAAAGAAGAACACTAGTGGTTTTTCTGAATTCTTTATTTATTCAATCATTTAGCAGTCATTTGTAAAATGTCTATTAGGTACAATAAGTATCAGACAATGTGCCAGGTATGAGAGATACAAAATTGAATAGGATGATGTTCCAGACTTTGAGAATTTTAGTTTAATCAAAGTGACTGGCAAGCAAACCTACTATTACGATGCAGTATTATAAAGTAATGTAGAGGAACGTCACTGTATCCCAGCCTTGAGAAGCAGAGTCAGGAATAGTTTGCGCCCCCAAATCTCAAAAGTAATCAGGGTGAGGGAGTGGGAAGTGAAAAGAATTTGAAAATATGCTTTGAGAGAGCTTATCACAGAAATCACTGAGTCAGGGAGCTGGAAGAGATTTTTCAAACGTTTACATTAAACCAAATTACTTGTTTCTAATTACTCTCCCTTGAACAATGGCTGTACATTAAGGAAACCCTCAAGTGAGCTGAAGCCTACCCAAGCACACTTATTGGAAAATGATCAAATAGCAGGATGTGAAGGACTAGGTTGTCTTTTCCCTCTCCCTTTTTTCAAGTTAGTTAACAGGACTGTGCTACTGATCTCCTCCTCTGCAGTTAGCGATCCATATGGTGTGCACATACTGTAGACATTTAACCGAATTATCAGATTGCTCCGGCTTTCTACCACTTTTATTTCATGGTTTCTAGATAGAAAGGCCTTGAGAAAGACAGAGTATGTGCATTGGAGAAGCTTTACATGAATAGGTTGTTTTTTCCATCCTTTTTGTCTTCACATCACCTTCCCAGCTGGGAAGGATATTTTGAGTGGTTGTTAGTAAATGGAGTTGATCTTCCTATGGCTGGGGCAAGATTTTCCCTGTAGAAAGTTACTAAGTGTTAGGAAAAAAAGGGGAATATGGAGATACCAAAGGCTTCTAAAATAGTGGGACAATGGTGAGGTATTTGGAGCCATTTTCCATAACCAGAGAAAGTGCTAAGAATGTTTAGCTCAGACAAGTTAAAGAGAGAAAGAGGTGGACGCATGCCTGAAGAACTAGAGCATATTGTGGGGTCTGGAACATATAGATTGCCATGGAGTGCTCAAGAACATAAAATGAGGACCGGGGCCAACAATTATAGCTATCTAATACTTGAATGGTCTGCCCTTATTACAGTGAATCTCCTGTTTCTGGAATTATCAAGAAGACTACAGAAAATTATAGGAGTGACTCCGAAATGCTATGGAAGAGATTCCTGCATTGTCATGCATAAAGGCAGGTGAGAGTGAGCCTGGTGAGGTGGCCTCTTAGGGCCCCTTCCAAACACAAGATTCATTATTTGAGGTACAATTGAAAGCTTTGTCTTCTATAAGAATATCTCTCAATATCTGGTCAAAATGCTTGAAATACCCACATGTATTCATTTTGTTTGTGCAAATCCTGACTTATTTCAAAACATTTTTACTTCAGAAATTTCTATCCTTATTAAGTGGGGCATTACTGTCACTTCCTGAAGGCCTGGTTTAAAAGCAAGCATGATTATATATCTCCTTAATGATGTCATTTGACCCCATACAACGACCTATGTGAAAGAAGTAGATGAGATATTATTCCTGTTTTACAGATGAGGAAACTCATTTCAGAGGGACAATGCTACCTGGAGAAAGGAAATAGGGCTCATTAAGATATCATGGCACATTAATATGAACACATGAATTTCCTCATCAGAGGAGCTGCAGGCTTGTGTTGGTCCATTGTGTTGGACAAACCACAAAATGGACTAACCCAATAAAGCTGCTGGGACTGGACACAGGAGCATCTTTACGGATATGAAAGATCAGAAGGCTTTGAAATCCAAGGTCTTGCTGAGGCAGCACAAGACCACTAAGTATTAATGATCAAAAACAAACATTATCTTCTTCCCAAATTTGTATAGGGAATTTTGAGAACTTACACAATAGGAGTATACTGTAATAGTAATTTACATGCATTTTCTTAGATATTAGGTTGATGCAAAAATAATTGAAGTAATTGTGTTTTTTCCTAATAGCACTTAAAATTATCCTATGAATATCATTATCTCCATTTGAAATGAAAACATTGGTTCCTCAAGGGAAACCATTTTTAAAATAAAAGGACAAGCTACAAATTAGGAGAAGTTTGAAACCTATTGCTATACAGAGTATATAAGGAATCATAAATCAATTGGAAAAAGATAATACCTGCCTCCCCAAAAGTGTGCATTTTAGATTCCTCCAGGAAAACCTGTTTATTAAGCAAATCTGAATATATCAAACTTAAAGCTGCAAGGAAGAATGTCCCCTTTTCAAAGTCTTAGTGATTATTCAAAAGGAGGAAGTTAAGAAAGGATGATTATAGGGTTTGGTATCCGGGCTTAATGGTTTGGGTAGGTCTTTCAAAGCAAGAAAGTAGTTGGCATCAGGCAGTTTGATACATAGTAATTTAGAGCTGCTAAACATGATGGGCAAGGGTCTTAAGTTCTTTTGAGTAAACCATTGTCCTAATAAGAGAGCTGTTTTTTTCCATATAAGCAAACCGCTCAAGTAAATTGGTATGCAAGTAATATGGTTTGGGTGTGTATACCTTTCAAATCTCATGTTGAAATGTGATCCCTGATAGATGCTGGAGGTGGGGCCTGACAGGAGGTATTGGATCATGGGGGCAGATATCTCATGAATAGCTTAGTGCCATCCCCTTGGTGATGAGTTTTTAGTTTGTTCACAAGAGATCTGGTTGTTTAAGAGTATGGGACTCTCCTTCTCTCTTTCTTGCTCTCTTTCACCATGTGATACACTGGTTCCCCCTTCTCCTTCTGCCATGATCGGAAGCACCCTGAGGCCAGACCAGGAGCAGATGCTGGCATCTTGCATCTTGTACAGCCTGCAGAACTGTGAGGCAAAATAAACCTCTTTTTCAAATTAATTACCTAGCTTCAGATATTCCTTTATAGCAACACAAAATGGACTAACAGCAAGAAATTCCCGATGCTAACAGTAAAATTATGTTGACCCAAGCCATCTCATTTTTTAGTCTAAGAGCTATGTTGGGAGGTCTCAGGTTTAGTCCCCTTGTCCTCCCTCTTTGTAGTCTTCTCCAGCCTGAGCTTTCAGTTACTTGTTTTTCTATTATGTGTATTATTTTCCAGTTACTTTCAGTGGGGGAGCCCATCATTACTGGGAACAGAAGTAAAACATACATTATTTAATTTCCAGATATTTTGGGATTTTTCCAGATATCTATCTGTTATCAATTTCTACATTGATCAATTTGTGATTAAATAACAGAATTTATAGGACTACAGTCCTTTTAAATTTGTCAAGGTTAGTGTTATGGTCCATGGACATGTTCCATGTATATTTGAAAAGATGATTTATTCTGCTGTTGTTGAGTAGAATATAAATGAAATTAAATTGGTTTACAGTGTTGTTCAGATTTTCCATCTCTTTAGTGATATTCTGTCTATTGGTTCTGCCAATTGAGAGAGAAGTGTTGACATTTTGTTATAATTTTGATATTTTATTTTATTTTATTTTTTGAGACAGGGTCTTGCTCTGTTGCCCAAGCTAAAGTGCAGTGGCATGATCTTGGCTTACCGCAACCTCCATCTTCTAGGCTCAACTGATCCTCCCACCTCAGCCTCCAAATAGGTGGGACCACAGGCACATGCCACCAAGCCTGGTTAATTTTTGTATATTTTGTAGAGATGGGGTTTTGCCATGTTGCCTAGGCTGGTCTCAAATTCTTGAGCTCAAGTGATCCACCCATCTTGGCTTTCTGAAGTGCTGGGATTACAGATGTGAGCCACCCTGCCCAGTGTGATAATATAATTAGACTGCAATTAAAATATCCTATTTTAATTATAAATTATTTTATATAATTAATCTTTCACTTTTATGAGTTTTGCTTCATGTTTTTTTAAGTTCTACTGTTAGATGCATACACATTTAATATTGTGTGTCTTCTTGATAAATTAATCCCTTTATGATTTTGTAATCATCGTACTCTCTGGTAATTAATATTCTTTGTTCTGAAGTCTACTTTGTCTCACATTAATTTTTCCATCTCTCTTTTGATTAATGTTTTCATATAATGTCTTTTTTCATGTTGTTTTTAGCATTAACGTATCTATTCTTTACAATAAAAGTTGGTATTTTATAGATGACAAATAGTTATGGTTGTTACCCTGCTTGACAATCTCTGTCTTTTACTTGCAGTATTTAAACAAGTTACATTTAATGTTATGATTAGTATGATTGTATTTAAATCTACCATCTTGCTAGCTGTTTTATACTTGTCCCATGTCTTCTTGGATCCCTTTTCTTCTTTTTCTGACTCTTGTGAATCAATTATTTTTTCCATTGCTATTGTTCTGATAAGCTCACTCTGTACCCAGATAGCAAACTCTTGTCCTTATAAAACCATTGTTTTTCCAAATTTGCAAACTATTTGCCTGGATAAAGTAAAGTGCAAGAATTTTCTAAAGATAACAGTGCAGTTATTTATTGCAAGGAAGAATGTCCCCTTTTCAAAGTGTTAGTAATAATTCAAAAGGAGGAAGTTAGGAAAGGATGATTATAGGGCTTTGATATCTGGGCTTAGTGGTTTGGGTAGATCTTTCAAAGCAAGAAACTAGCTGGTATCAGGCAAAGTTTGATACATGGTAATTTAGAACTGCTAAACATGATGGGCAAGGGTCTTGCTATCACATCTTTCTTCATGATGTTTACCTAGAGCAAACAATTACATTATGTTGACACAGGTCATCTCAGTTTTAGCCCCAGTAACTAGGTATACTTTATCTACAGAGTAAGAAAAGAGATAAAGTATAGCATTATTACACACTTGAATATTATACAGTAGCAAACATTAATATAGCATATGAATTAACATGAAATTGATGAATCTGAAAAACAGTAAAGAGGGCTGGTTGTAAATGAATGCCTCCAGTATGAAATCATTCACTTATGAAAGCCTAAGTAGTAATACTACAAATGCAAGCAGGGAAATGTTGAAAGCAAAATCCAAAAGAGTTCCGTGTCCCTTCTTTCACAAGGAAAAAGAGAAAGTTATGAACAGGGAGTGTTACCGTGGGAGCATCAGTAATGCTGTCCATTTATTAAGATCAGTGAGCTATTCATGGTTCTTCAATTTATATATGTTTAAATTCAATATACATTATATACTTCTGATTTTTCAAAACACATTAAGAAGGCAAAAATGCTTACTTGTATAGTTCCCAAAACATAATCTGTCACCTTCTTTCCTTTCTAATGAAGCATCAGCTGACATTCAGTCATCAGGAAATCTGGGCATTTTCAAATTGCCTCTATACTCCAGCCCTCAGTTTTCTCTCTGCAAGATAAGAAGATAATGTTGTTATGATCACTAAGGTATCTTACAGAAATAAAATCCTTTGATTTTTATTCAAACCTACTGAATGCATACTTCTTGGTTTCAATTAATTGCTGTGTTCTAATTACTTATTTGTGATCCTCAGACTTCAATTAAGTAGAATATTAAAGAGATTGGATATAATTTTCAGGTAGATGGTAGGAATAAAGGTCAAGAAACACCCCTTTGTTTAAGTAGGTAGGTGGAAATATGAGCATGCTAAACTTTACTTCCAATAAAAAGCTGCCTGGATCTGAATATTTTTTGTGTGTATAATTTTTGATATTCTTCATGGAAGATTTGCCTTCATAAGAATTACAAGGCTCAGGATACTGGAAACCGGATTAACTCTCTTTTCTCCTTCAATTCAGGAATTAATTAAACTTCGATTTCTCTCTGTGTGGTTAACATTAATAATTGACACGGGAGTGTTTTTCTGTGATTTCCTACAAGCTAGCATTTGCCATCATGGAAGTATTAATACTATCACACCCACTAATCAAGGGCAGCCTGTGTGTTGTGTGAAATCATAAATACATAGCCGTAGGGACCTGGAAATAATTGCTAATGAACTTTAGTCTCTCTGACAGAGCACACAGCCTTGGACCTCTAGCCTGCCCCATTGTTTCCTTCATTCCCCTAATGTCAAACCCTAACCAAATACTCTGGAGTTTCCTCTCTTCCCTACCTTCTTTTCTGTTTGTTCCCCACCTCAGAATGCTCAGACTACAGCCACCAGATCGAGACTGCTCCTTTCCTAAAGATTTGGATTTGCTAGCAAGGGAACTTAGAGGCAGGAATATTGCATCTGACTACAGCTTTAAGTCCCCAAAGAGGCAAGGCCCCCTGAGACCCTCTTCAGATGCTAATATTCGCACAAAGTGCATTGGCCCCAGCTGGCCTTCACCTGCAGCCCTGACAGGCAGGAGCCTTCAGAATGAGATCCTGGTTTCCATAAAAATAGGAAGGGCACACATGGTAAATAACAGAGATCTAGCACAAGCTATAAAATGATTTGAAGTCTGCTTCCAGACAGTTAAAACTAATTGCTGTGAACACAAAGCCCAGACAGGAGTGCCCCCTCCCCTTTACTTTTTGTGATTCACGTGAGATGGGGTGACTTGAATCTTCTGCTAATGGCCACACCTAAAATTAATCAATGCCACTAAATTTAAGATGCAGCCATCGTTGTTAATATTCAAATATGTTTTAAGCACAGGAGAAAAGTGCTGCATGGTAGTGTGACACATATTAATGGATCATTTAGAATTGTCCTTAGCTGTTTCCTTGGTTTTATGGGGGGTACCCAGTTGAAATGTAGCATTATCATTATGATTGCTAGTCTCCTGACTGCTTTTCTATTATTGCTGGCCATAGTTTGCAGCCCGTTCATCCTGTTTTTATAAAAGAAATTTGTAAGTGAAAAGCTACTTAATTCACCAATGTATTCCAGATTATAGTAAGCTAATACCAGCCAGGAGGACTCCTTCCTTTATCCTCTCTTTTGGAACTAACTTAGAGATGAGCTGTAAAATCCTTTTTATGTCCCTCCTTTCTTTTCATATGATATGGTATATAGGATATCAGTGAGGCAGGATATTAACTAAGCTCCCCTTACCAGATCCTTTGTTTTAAGAATACAGTGATTTAAAGAAGTGATTTCCATGCTTTTTTAATTTAGAGACTCTTGACATTAAAAAAAAGTATTCACTCAATATTTGAGAAGCCTTTTTAGTTTCCATTGTTTTATAATTTACACATGGATAATATACATTCAGTAATGTCTTAAAGTGAATGTATATTTAGTTAATTGTAATTGCATCTTTATATATATTTGGGAATGATTATATGTATATGTGAAAGATGTTTATTAGGTCTCCAGATAGTGTTTAGTACATATGCATATAATTTCCAGGATGCCTCTCAAAATCTTTATGACCTTTTTAGCAGTCCTCTCTCTCTTCTGATAAGGAACTAAGAATCTAGTGGGAGAAAATTCCATGTAAGAAGTCAGCAGGCTGGGATTTTGTCTGCTTTCAGTCGTTTGTGCCCTCTTGTCCTTCCATTCAACCTCTCCATACTTGTTTCTATGCTGTAAAATAAGGGTAACTTATACCTGCCAATTTACTGCATAGGTTATAGTGGAAATGATATTCAGTAATAAGAGCTAAATATATACTTGGAAAATATAAAAACTATTCAGGATGCTGTATCTACTTAATTAGGACTATACATTTTATACTTTGACAGAGGATAAGATACTATGTATATTCTCATATTTAATTAGGTAAGAACAACTTTGAGATTCTTTAAAAAAAAGAAAATATAATGTTAAAATCAGGAAGTGGATGAAATCCCAAAATGCCTTAGAAGTTGCAATTTTTTCCCCAAAATTAATCAGGCTTCACAATAAAGACAATTAGAAGAAGAGGAGTTAAAACTTTTTTTTTCAATTTGCCAATATTCAAAATATATATATTGTACATGTGCTTTTTGCCAGATGTAGCACTTTGTTCTCAGGACTGAGATAAACAGTTGCATGTTTAATTTGACTGTAGAATAGATAATCTGTATATGAAGTATTTCCTATTCTTTTTTCTTTCTGTTCTTTTTTTTTCCTTCTTCGCATTTCTTCCAGGATTTTTCTTAGTGAACAATCTGACATTTTCAAGAACATCTGTAAAATTATAAGTATTAAATTTGGCTACCTACTGTTTGTACATAAAGATTTTATAAATTTCAAAATAATAATACTCTTGTTGATGTGGTTTAAGCTTGAGCTATTCATACTTTGGGGTTTTATATTATCATCGTCTACTTGAAGGATGAATATGTGTGACTTTTCATGTGGAAATAAAATTGTTCTCTTATTAACTTCAATTTTAGTAAGTAAATAGAGAAATAAATAAGAAAAAGGAAAATCCATATATTCTAGTACATTGGTTACAATGACTCTACTTTCTTAAATATCCTTTAAAACAATTTTGACATTATAATAACTATCTTGGACCAAAAGTTCTATGTTTATATACTTACTTTATGTTATTTCTTACAGCAAATAGTCTACTGCAGGGTACCACTATTAATCAGACTTCACTTTATGCAAAAAATTAGGGATTGTATAAGGATGTAGAAAGATTTTTTAAAATTTGTTATTGGTAAATTAAAGGGCATTTCTCCATGGATTAAAATTGATCTTCAACAGCTTCTTGTCCCTGAAGCACTGTAGTTCTTCAGTGGGCAGTCTGCAGCAGAAGGCATACCGCTATGCTTCTCTGTAATGTTAAAGTTGCCAGTGATTTGGAAGAGAGATGAAAAAAAGTTAGAGGACTGAGTAGGTGGTGACTCAGCCCTGGCATAAGGAAATGAATTTTGCTATAAATAAGTGTTAAATATCTGGTATCTATAGAAAATAATAATCTTCACATAGAGGAAAGCGATAATAAGTTTTTTGGCATATTTGTCCAGAAGATAAAACTTCTTCAGAAAATATATGGTTAAATTATAAAGATCACTTTCACTTCCAAGAATATGGAATAGACATTCTTTTCCCTATTCCTCATGCTAAATGCAATGAAAAATTCTGGACATTTTTACAGTGTAAGGCTGAAATTAAGATTCCATATTATCTGCCCTGATATGTGAAACTAGGAGAGCAGTCCCCCTGTTCTCTCCAGATATGCCCCCATCCCCTCCATGGGAAAGGCTCCTCACCCAGGTAGTCTCCCTATCAGGAAGATCAGCTTTACCACACCCAGTCCTCAAACTAATGGCTTTCACTCTCCTCCTGCCTGCAAACTTATTCTGATAAGCTAATCACATCTTCCCATGGGGACCACGGGGCACCTCAACTTCTTGCTGCTACAAAGCCTGCCTTCCATAGCCTCGACTGGTTCACTCTGTTCCCAAGTGCAACTCCAATGTGGCCCTGCATGCCATGTGGCACCCTCCTGCTCAGGGTGGCTGTGAGTGAGTATATGTGAGTCATGAATAGCTGTTGGTCTCAACTGTCAGGTGTCAAGTTTTTGGCCATCTCATACTGTTTAGGGTAAGGGATCCAAAGGTGAATAGTAGGCAAGCAAAACATATATGGAAATTTTTAAAAAAAGGCCATCTAGGGAAGTTTAGAGTCAAGGAAAGATATGGTGAGTTCCCTGTTTTGTTTTTCTGCCTCATATAACTCAGAGTTAGAGCTGAGGAAGCCAGCAACTTGGAAATGCGATGGATGTTGACCAAAAAGCCCCAACCACAGCCTTCTCTTTCTAGTCAAAGGACCAGAAAAGGGGCAGCCCATTAAGAGGAAACAAAATGTAGGCAATAGATACTCTAGTATAGCCAAACGCCACAGGAAAAGACTGTGGCACCACCCACACACATAGCAGTAAACTTTGAGTGGGGAACCTAGACTTCCACTCTCACCAGGTTGTAATGAAGTACACTAACTTGCCTGCCAGGGTGAGGTCAGAGGAGACCAAGTGGGGAGCTGGGACTATCATTCCTGCTAGATGATAACAAGCCCCCACTCTTTTGGCAGTGTTAGGGAATACAATGTGGTGACCCTGGATTTCACCCACCCCCATCCAGCAGTAAATAGGGAAATCTCCCACTTCTGGCCAGGGAGGTGGCAGTGGAGGCCTAGAAGAGAGGCAGAGCTGCAAACCCTACCCAACAGTGCGAGAAACTTCTCCCACCCTAGGTGGCCAGTGGAGGCCCAGAGGGGAACCCAGACTTCTACTCACATCTGCCATCAGTGAAGAAGGAGCACTTCTTCCCTGCTGAAGTGGTATCAGAGTAAACTTCTAAAACAGAAGGTTTAAATATGAAGTAGGTTCTTATTTGCAGAGTTCAGGTTTCAGTTTTAAAAAATTATTAAAAGAGCCAGGAAAATGTCAACTTTAATGAAAAATGACAATCAATAGATATCAATGCTGAGATGACAAGAGGTTGGCAAAGATTTTCGTAGCAGCCATCATAAAATGCTCCATCAAGAAATACTGAACATGCTGGAAACTAATGAAAAATAAAAAGGCTTGGCAGGCCGGGCATGGTGGCTCACTCCTATAATCCCAGCACCCAGCACTTTGGGAGGCCGAGGCGGGTGGATTTGAGACTGATCTCCTATTCTCCTCAGCTGCAAAACCTGAACAATGGAATTAAAGTAGAAATCAAAAACAACAACAATATAACAAGAAAAACTTCAAAGATTTAGAAATTAAGCAACTCATTTCTAAATGATCCATGGGTCAAAAAGGAGGTCTTAAAACATAGAAAATATATATTTAACTAAATGAAACTGCAAGATCAATATTGTGAGGGCACTGATAAATCAGTGCTGAGAGAAAAATATATAGCACTAAATGTGTACATAGGAAAGAGGAAAGGTTTCTAATAAAATAATCTCAGTGTATACCTCAAAAACCTAAAATAACATGAATCAGATAAATCCAAAGTAAGCAAAAGGAAGGAAAGAATAGGATAAGAGCAGAAATCAGTGAAACAAAAAGCAGAAAGCCAATAGAGAAATTCACCGAAATAAAAGCTTGTTCTTTGAAAAGATCAATAAAATTGGCAAGCCTATAGCAAGACTCACAAAAATAAGAACAAAGAAACAAATTATCAATATTAGAAATGAAACTGAGGACATTTTCTATATACCTTGCAGATATCAAAAGGATAATAAGGAAATACTACAAACAACACTACACACATATTTTGACAACTAAGTTGGTCAGTTTCTTGAAAAGCAAGCACAAACTACCACAACTCATTTAATGTTACATAGAAAATTTGAATAGCACTACAACTATTAAGGCAAATGAATTCATAATTAATAAATTTCCAAAAAATAAATCTGCAGTCCCAGATATTTCCACTAGAAAATTGTACAAAACATTTAAAAAACCAACAGCAGTTCTACACAATATCTACCAGAAAATGGAAGAGAAGAGTTACTTTCCAATTTATTTTATGAAGCTGATAATAAACTACACAAAGACAGTGCAAATAAAGAAAACTAGAGACCAGTATTTTTCATCGACTTAGATAGAAAGACTCTCAACTAAATATTAGCAAACTGAATCCAACAATATAGAAAAATAATTATACCCCATGACCAAATAGGATTTATTCCAAAATGCGAGATTGGTTTAAGGTTTACAAATTAGTAACATAATTCACCATATTAACAAACCAAAAAAGAAAATTCAGTTAATTAATACAAACAAAGGCATTTCAAAAAACTCAATACCCATTTTGATAAAAACTCTCATTAAACTAGAAACAGAGGGAAACTTCTTCAACCTGAAGGAAAGCATCTACAAAAAAACTAAAGCTAACATGAAGAGTATAAAACATTAAGAGTAAATTTAAGAGTAAAAAATGGAATGCTTTTCTCTAAAACCAGGAATAAGGCAAAGTTTTCTGCTTTCATTACTTTCATTCAAAGTTGTACTGGAATTTCTAGCCATTGCAATAAGACAAGAAAAGAAAATCAAAGTCATCCAGGTTTGAAAGAAAACAAAACAAAACAAAACAAAACAACTATCCTTATCGGCAAGTAACATAATGTTCTATACAGAAAATCCTAAGGTAAGCTTGTCCAACCCATTGCCCTCAGGCCAAATGTGGCCCAGGATGCCTTTGAATGTGGCCCAACACAAATTTGTAAACTTTATTAAAACATTATGAGATTTTTGTTGTGATTTTTTTGTTTTCTTTAGCACATTAGCTATTGTTGATGTCAGTGGATTTTATGTACGGCCCAAGACAATTCTTTTGCTTCTAATGTGGCCCAGGGAAGCCAAAAGATTGGACACCTCTGTCCTAAGGAATCTAAATAACAAAACAACTAGGTGAGTTCAGCAAGGTTACAGGATACAAGATAAATGTACACAAATTAATCATATTTTCATATAACAGCAATGAGCATGTACATACTAGAATTGAATATCATTTATAATCACTAAGAAATGAAGAAAGAAAAGAAACACCCAGGTGGTCTTACAAAATATATATGGACGTGTAAACTTAAAACTACAAATTGCTGATGAAAGAATTCAAAGAAGAATAAATAAATGGAGAAACATACTGTGTTTATACATTGGAAAATGCAAAATAGTAAAGCTGCCAATTCTTCCCAAATCGACATGCAGGTTTTATATAATCGCTTTCAAAATCTCTGCAACATTTTTGCCTTATATAGAGAAAAATACTCTAAAATGTAGATGGAAAGTCAAGGAACTAAAATAGCTAAAATTATTTTGAAAAAGAAGAATCAAGTGAAAGGAATCAGTCTACATGATTTCGAGACTTATGACACAACTAACTAATTAAGACTATTTGGTGGGATAGACAAATCATTGAAACAGAATACAGAACCCAGAAATAGACCCACACAACTATGTCCAACTGATTTTTGACAAAGTTGCAAAAGGAATTCAGTGAAGGAAGGACAGCATTTTCAATAAATGGCATTGGAACAATTAAACACCCATAAACAAATAAAGAATGACCTTAACATCCCACTAACCAAACACACAAAATATATCACCAACTTTGAAATGACACTATAAAATTTCAAAACTATACATTTAAAAAAAAAGGAGAAAATCTTTAGAATCTAGAGCCAGGCAAAGAGTTCTTAGACTTGACACTGAAGGCACCACCCATAAAAAGAAAAATTAATACATGGGACTTCATCAAATTAACAACTTTTGCTCTGAAAACATGCTGTTCAACAGGAAGAAAATATTTTGCAAACTACTATCCAAAAAAAGAATGAATACTTGGAATATATGAAGAAGTCTTAAATCTTGGTAGTATAAAAACAACAACAATAACAAAAAAACAAATAACTCAAGTAGAAAATGGGCAAAAGATATGAAGAGACATTTCATCATGGAGGAAATATACATGACAAACAACCACATAAAAGATATTTCATATATGTAGCCATTAGGGAAATGCAAATTAAAACCACAATGGAACATCTATACATACTTATTAGAATGATGAAAATAAAAAGTAGTGACAACCGAAAATTTTGGTGAGAATGCAGAGAAACTGTTTCACCCACCTATACATTGCTAGTGGGAATGTAAAATGATATAGCCACTCTAGAAAACAATTTTGCAGTTTCTTAATAAACTAAACATGCAATTACCATATGACCCAGGAAATGTACCCCTGTATATTTATTCCAGAGAAATAAAAATGTATGTTTACACACACACACCACACCTGATAAAATATTCATAACTTTTTAAATAATAGCCAGAAACTGGAAACAACCCAGTTGTCTGTCAATGAGTGAATGGTTAAACAACCTATGGCATATCCATACCATAAAATTCTACTCAACAACAAAAAGCAACACATTATTGATAAACACAACAACTTGGATGAATCTCCAGAAAATAATGATAAGCAAAGTCAGTCTCAAATAATTATATAAGGTATAATTCCGTTTATATTACATTTTTGAAGTCACAAAGTTATTGAAATGGAGGAGGTATCAGTGATTGCCAAGGATTAAAGACAGGGTGGAAGGGAGTAGAGCATAGAGAGGCATATAAGAGGAGTGGAGGTGACTGTAAAAGGGCAAGATAAAGGATCTTTCTTGTGATGGAAATGTTTTGTATCTGGACTACATTAATGTAGATATCCTGAATGTGATATTGTACTATAGTTTTGGAAGATGTTTAATCATTGGGGGCAACATAGTAAAGGGGACTTGGGGTCTCTCTATACTGTTTCTTCCAACTGCATATGAATATATGACTATCTCAAAATTAAAAGTTTAAGATAATTATGAATATCTGACTCTAGCCTCCCAGTTTGACCTATAATTTTTCCATAAGCAATAAGGGACTCCAAAAAGATTGATGTGAAAACTGCCAGAGGATCTTCATCATGTAATTTTCTAGGTGTGGGATGTTTTTTTACAATCCATTTGTAGCTGTCTTGGTTAAATTTTTTAACTTTGTGTTTCTTTTGATACCTTAAAGTCAATGCTATCTTTCTCTTACACTTAATATGTTCTTGATGAGTACAATGCTTCCATGGAATGCTACATATTTGGAAAAAAAGCCAGCAGAGTTCCCACAGGCTGGGCAACCTTCACTTTAGTATGACTCTCACTAGGAGGTAATGAGGTTCATTTGAAACCATCCTTTAACACTACTAATAAAAAGAAAGTTCAAAGGGATGGAACTTAAAACCCATTCATCATATAAGTAAACAACATTTGCATTTAAAAGGGATCGTTTTTTGCCCATTAAGTGCACACAAGAGGTTCTGGTAGCTTTTGATTTATCACCTCACATTTTCAGACTTCCTTTTTCTTTAAATATATAGCAAGTGCAAATCCCAAATCGAAATGCATGGTGGTGTACTAAATTTGAGGCAAGTGGCAAAAGGAAAAAATGTCATGAAATGCAATTTTATAATCTTTCATTGAATGACAATCACACTAAAAGTCTAGAGATAACAAATACAAGGGTTTCTGTCTTCTTTCTCCTCCAAAGCTTAGCACCGAGAGTTTCAAAGTCATTCACACAGGCAAGACCAGAAACTTTCAACACAGTTAACGCCTCTGATACCATTTCATGCCTCGATGACGTTGTTTAAGTTGGTTCGTTGGTCTGCATCTGGCTAACTCAAACTTAACCTAATAATTCACCTCTTCTTCTAGGAAGTCTCCTTCGACTCTTTAAGAAGTAGATGGCTTCTCTTTCTCTTGCTACTCCAGTATACATATTTCAGAGCATTTTATCATATTTAGTGAAAAATACCTCCAATAGTCTATGCCCCTTACAAAGAGGAATTATTCTTTATCCATTCCCCCTGTCCAAGTGCTTTATACAGTGTGCTCAGTAAATGTGGTAGAATCAGGGCAATAGTGAAATTATTTCTTTGGTATAGTTTTCAGAAAAGTGAAAGCAGTTTACAAAAGAAAAGTAAATAAGTTTATTTGAATGCTAGCATAGGGAATTCATTTTTAATTTAATAGACAGAAACAGATGTGGTTCACTGGATGCTTTTTTATGCCTGAACCTTCCTAACAGGGTGAGTGACTTTCATGTATTTATTACTATAAGATTGCAACTGCCTTGAGAACAGAAGCACCACTGTTCCTGCCCATAGAATAAGCCCTCAAACAATGTGTCTAGAATAAATGATTTACAAGGCCCAGAAAACACCACTGAAAGGCGACTCCCAGTGGGTGCAAAGGCCACTCTCTAATCACATTTGTTCTGTCCCATCCTCTGTTGTGCTCTCTGTGGGTCAGGAACTCTGTAAACTACTTCATGTATATGAACACGTCGTATTCCCAGATAATTCTGTGAGATAGATACTGTTTTAAAGGTGATGAAACTGCCACACCAAGAGGTTAGTAAATGAGTTCAAAGTCAAGGAAACTGTGAGTGACAGAGCCAGACTTTGAACTCAGCAGCCTCATTCCATCGTCAGTGCTATTAAATATTACATCATGTAATCTAGGCCTGGTGATACAAAGAAAACTGGAGTCCCTGCCTCAACTCCACTGGAGTTCTAGCCACTGGGACAGAAATGAGCAGAAATAACAGAGAGAGAATAAGGGAAGTCTTCAGCCTGTTATCTATGAAATTGGCAGGCTAACTTGATAGTTTGTAAATAGGGTAAATCTCAGACCCTTCACGGTTCTTGACAAAGGGACAGCTTCCAATCATTCAGTCATTTATTCTTTAAAAATAAAATAAAATCATGAGTGAAACACCATAGGTTACACTACTGAGGTTGCACAAGATGTTGCAAACGCCATTTCTTAGTGTCGTGACTTAATGGCGACAGTAAGTCTACAAAGTAGATGATCAAAATGGCAAGATAAGTTACCAATCCTGTAAGAACAAGATGAGAAGCCAATATAATAAAGCCATTTGCTTTCTTAGAAACAAACAAGAAAAAAAACAAAAATCAAACTATTTTGTTCTTTTTTATTAATCACAAAAATAAATTAATTCAATGAAGAACACTTGAAAAACAGGGATTGGGACAACAAAAATGACTTTTAATCTCAGTACCTTGATAAAACCACTATTAACATTACAAAATATCTTTTATGTGTGTTCGTGTGTGTGTGTGTGTGTGTGTATGCGTGCTTATGGTGTATGTGTGTGTAAAGAGTTGATTAGAGAAATAGAATCACACTGAACATTTTTATCCTGCTTTTTCTATTTTGCAACTCATCGAAAAATATTTTACATATTCGTCTACAATATAATGTACCTACACAGTATTTTATCATATAGACATATTTAGTTAACCAATTCTCTATCATTGAAAACTTTGGTTCTGTTTCTTCTCTATTATAACTAATGTAGATTTTCTTAATTTTTAATTTTTGTGAGTACATGGTAGGTATATATATTTATGGGATACATTAATGAGATATTTTGACACAGGCATGAAATGCAAAATAATCACATCAGAGTAAATAGGGTATCTATCACCTCAAATATTTTTCCTTTATGTTTCAAATAATACAATTATCATCTTTTTAGTTATTTAAATATGAACAATTAATTTTTTTTACTATAGTCACCCTGTCCTGCTAGCATATGCTAGGTCTTATTTATCTTATTTTATTGTACCCATTAGCCATTCCCTTCCCTCCACCTACTTACCCTTGCCAGCCTCTGGTAACCATCCTACTACTCTCCATCTCTATGAATTCAATTGTTTTAATTTTTAACTCCCACAGATAAGTGAGAACATGCAACGTTTATTTTTCTGTGCCTTGCTTATTTCACTTAACATAATGACCTTCAATTCCCTCCATACTGTTGCAAATGACAGAATTTCATTCCTTTTTATGGCTGAATAGTATTCCATTTTCTTTGTCTATTCATCTGTCGAGAAACACTTAGGTTGCTTCCATATCTTGGCTATCATGAATAGTGTTACAACAAACACAGGAGTGCAGATATCACTTTGATATTCTGATTTCCTTTCTTTTGGGTATACATCTAGTAGTGGATTGCTGGATCATATGGTAGCTCCAGTTTTAGCTTTTTTAGGAACCTCCAAACTGTTCTCCATAGTGGTTGTACTAATTTACATTCCCACCAAAGTGTATAAGGGTCCCCTTTTCTCCACATCCTTGCCAGCATTTGTTACTGCCTGTCTGTTGGATAACAGCCATTTTAACTGGGGTGGGATGATATTTCATTGTAGTTTTGATTTGCATTCCTCTGATGATCAATAATATTGAATGCCTTTTTATTACTTGTTTTCCATTTGTATGTCTTCTTTTGAGAAATGTCTCTTCAGATCTTTTGCCCATTTTAAAATCTGATTATTAGATTTTTTTCCCTATAGAGTTGTTTAGCTTTCTCCGATTCTGTGAGTTGTCTTTTCACTTTGTTAATTGTTTCCTTTGCTGTGCAGAAGCTTTTTAACTTGGTGTGATCCCATTTGTCTGTTTTTGTTTTGGTTGCCTGTGCCTGTGGGGTATGTTTTCTTTTAGTGGTTTCATAGTTTGAGGCCTTAGCTTTAAGTCTTTCATCAATTTTGATTTTATTTTTGTATATGGCAAGAGATAGGGATCAGTTTCATTATTCTGCATATGTATATCCAGTTTTTCCAGCACAATTTATTGAAGAGACTGCCTTTTCCCCGTGTATGTTCTTGGAACTTTTGTCAAAAATGAGTTAACTGTAGATGTATGCATTTATTTATGGGTTATCTGTTCTATTCCACTCATCTGTGTGTCTGTTTTTATGCCAGCACCTGCTGTTTCGGTTACTATAGCTCTGTAGTGTAATTTGAAGTCAGGTAACGTGATTCCTTAAGTTTTGTTACTTTTGCATAGGATGACTGTGGTTATTCTGGGTCTTTTGTGGTTCCATGTAAATGTTAAAATTGTATTTTCTACTTCTGTGAAGAATGTAATTGGTATTTTGATAGGAATTGCATTAAATCTGTAAATTGCTTTGGGAAGTATGGACATTTTAACAATATTGATTCTTCCAATTCATGAACATGAAATATCTTTCCATTTTTTGGTCTCCTTTTCAATTTGTTGTGTCAATGTTTTATAGTTTTCATTGTAGAGATCTTTCATTTCTTTGGTTAATTCCTAGATATTTTATTTTATTTGTAGCTATTGTAAATGGGATTACTTTCTCAATTTCTTTTTTGGGTTGTTCACCGTTGGCATGTAAAAATGCTACAGATTTTTGTATATGGATATTGTATCCTACAACTTCACTGAATTTGTTATTCAGTTCAAATAGCTTTTTGGTGGAGTCTTTAGGTTTTTCCAACCATAAATCTTATCTGCCACCAAGGATAATTTGACTTTTTCTTTTCCAATTTGGATGCCCTTTATTTCTTTCTCTTGTCTGGTTGCTCTAGCTAGGACTTCCAGTAGTAAGTTGAATAACAGTGGGGAAAGTGGCCTTCCTTGCCATGTTCTAGATCTTAGATAATTCAGCTTTCAATTTTTCCCTGTTCAGTATGATACTAGCTATGGGTCTGTCATGTATGACTTTTATTATGTTGAGGTATGTTACTTCTATACCAAGTTTTTCCTTTTTTTTTTTTGTTTCATAAAGGAATATTGAATTTTCTCAAATGCTTTTTCAGCAGCAATTGAAAGGTTCATATGATTTTTGTCCATCATTCTGTTGATATAATGTATCACATTGATTGACTTTGCATATGCTGGACCACTCTTGTATCCCTGGCATGAATCCCACTTGGTCATGATGAATGATCTTTTTAATGTGTTGTTGAATTTGGTTTGCTAGTATTTCACTAAGAATTTTTGCACCATTATTCATTGGTGGTATTGGCCTATAGTTTCCTTTTTTTGATGTGTCTTTGGTTTTGGTAGCAGGGTAATACTGGCCTTGTAGAATGACTTTGGAAGTATTTCCTCTACCTCTATATTTCAGAATACTTGAGTAGGATTGGTCTTTGTGTAGTATTGTTTTGTAGAATTCAACAGTGAAGCCATCGGGTCCTGGGCTTTTCTTTACTGGGAAAGTTTTAATTATAGCTTTTATTTTGTTATTTGTTATTAGTCTGTTTAGGTTTTGGATTTATTCATGGTTCAATCTTAAAGGTTGTACATATCTAGAAATTTGTCTATTTTTTATTAATTTTCCAACTTATTGGTATGTAGTTGCTTATAGTAGCCCACTAATGGGCTTTCAAATTTCTGCAAAATCAGTTATAATTTTTCATCTCTGATTTTATTAATTTTGGTCTTCTCTCTTTTTTCTTAGTTTGGCTAAAGGTTTGCCAACTTTGTTTAACTTTTCAGAAAACCAACTTTTTGTTTCATTGATCTTTTGTATTGTTTTCTTCATTTTAATTTCATTTATTTCTGCTCTGATCTTTATTATTTCTTTTCTTCTACTAATATTGGATTTGGCTTGATCTTGCTTTTCTAGTTATTTAAGATACATCATTGGGTTGTTTATTTGAAGTATTTCTTCTCTTTTCATTTAGGCACTTATAACTATAAACTTCCCTATTAGTACTGCTTTTGCCATATCCCATAGAGTTTGGTATGTTGTGTTTCCATTATCATCTGTTTCAAGAACTTTTTAATTTCCTCATTAATTTCTTTATTGACTCACTGGTCATTCAGGAGCATATTGTTTAATCTCCATGTATCTGTGTAGTTTCCAAAATTCCTCTTGTTACTGATTTCCAGTTTTATTCCATTTTGGTAAGAAGAGACACTTGATATTATTTTAATATTTTTGAATGCTTTAAGACTTGCTTGTTACCTAACATATGGTCTATCCTTGAGAACGATCCATGTGCTGAGGAGAAGAATGTGCATTCTGCAGCTGTTGGATGAAATATTCTGAAAACATGTTTTAAGGTCTATTTGTTCTATAGTACACATTAAGTCTGATGTTTCTTTGTTGATTTTCTGTGTGGAAGATATGTACAATACTGAGAGTGGGATGTCGAGGTATTCAGCTATTATTGTATCGGGGCCTGTCTCACTCTTTAGCTCTAATTTTTCTTTATATATCTGGATGCTACAGTGCATATATATTTAAATTTTCAAAAAATTCATATATATTTACAATTGTTATATCCTTTTACTGAATTGACCCCTTTTACCATTATCTAGTGATCTTGACTCTTTTTACAGTTTTTGTCTTGAAATCTATTTTGTCTGATATAAGTATAGCTACTAGTGTTCTTTTTTGGTTGCCATTAGCATGGATTATCTTTTTCTACCCTTTTATTTTCAATCTATGTGTGCCTTTAGAGGGGAAGTATGTTTCTTGGAGACAACAGTACAATGGATCTTATTTTTTTATCTGTTCAGCCACTCTATGTCTTTTGATTGGAGAGTTTAGTTCACTTACATTCAGTGTTATTATTGATTAGTAAGGACTTCTGACTTTTGTTATTTGTTTTCTGGTTGTTTTGTTATCTGCTTTTCCTTTTTTCCTTCCCTCCTGTCTTCCTTCAGTAAAGGTGATTTTCTCTGGAGATATGATTTAAATACTTGCTTTTCATTTTTTGTGTATCTGTTGTATATTTTTTCATTGAGGTTACCATGAAGCTTGCAAATACTATCCTATAACCCATTATTCTAAGCTGATAACAACACAGTTTGCATAAACAAGTGAACAAGAGAAAAAAAAAACTAATAAAAACTCTACATCTTAATTTTGTCTTCCTGCTTTTAAACTTTTTTGTTGTTTGTATTTATATCTTGTTGTCCTGTCTGTCTTGAAAAGTGGTTGTAGTTATTGTTTTTTATTAGCTCACTGTTTAGTATTTCTACTTAAGAGTAGTTTATGCACCACAGTTACAGTGTTATAATATTTTGTGTATTATTATAACTGTGTATTACACAGTTAAGTGTCATAATATTCTATTACCAGTGAATTTTGTACCTTCAGATGATTTCTTATTGGTCATTAATATCCTTTTCTTTCTAATTGAAGTGCTTCCTTTAGCATTTCCTGTAGGAAAGATCTGGTATTGATGACATCCTTCAGCTTTTGTTTTACTTGGGAATCTTTATTCCTTCTTTATGCTTAAAGGATATTTTTACCAGATGTATAGGTAAAAGTTTTCTTTTTAATGTAGACTTTAGTAATCTTATTTATTCTTTTGAAAATCAATGTTCTTTTTGATTGAAAAATTGTAGTTGTATACATTCCTGCAATACAATTTTATGTTTTGACACACACACATACACATACACACACACTCACATACACGTACAATGTGGAATGATTAATTCAAATGAACTAACATATTCATACCTCACTTATTTTTGTGGAGAGATGTTCTAAATTTGCTTTCTTAACTATTTTGAAATATACAATACATTATTTTTAACTAAGATCTCAAAAACTTCTTCCTGTTTAACTGAAACTTTATGCCTTTTGACCAACATCTCCACTTTGTGCCTTTTGACCAACATCTCCCTATCCCCTCCTTCAACCCCTCCCTAGCCTCTGGTGCCCACAATGTTACTCTCACATCTTTGCTCCTAAACTTGATTATTTCCCTAAAATAGATTACTGAAAATAAAACTGATGAGTCATAGACTATGCATATTGGATTTCCTTTATATATGTGCAATTTAAATACCTTTTAGAAAGATTTTAAGAATTTGTATCTTATTCAACTTCATTTTCCTTATAAACGTTGGAATTGTATTTTTAATGGATGAAAATTGTAAAATCATTTTATTTGTATTTAAGAAATACGGCTGAGAGGCTGTGAGCTTTATCTCTAAAGCAGGATTAATAATACTTCTCTTGTAGCAGTATTGGAGAAACATTCAAATAATGTATATAAGTTATAAACATTATGCCTAGCACAATGTATTTTCAAGTAAGTATTAGCTTTTGTTATTACAACTAGTAGTCTTTCATTAACAGTAAGACTGAGCATTTGACTGTGTCTATTTAAAAACTCGTAGCTCTGCTTTAATTTTCTCTTTCTTCCTGCATTGCAAAGTTTACCATTGTAACTTTTGTTACTTCAGTAAATCTTTCTGACACCTATATTTTGAGTATTTTTACCTATTTTGTCCTCTGCCATTTAATGTTGTCTACAGTAATTGGCTTTTATACCCAGAAGGGTAGAAGTCAGCCTTGTTCTCCAAATATTTCCAGGTCTCTTTACTTTCCTGCCCCCTTTAAAGTTAAACAAAAATACGACTTGCTTTGGCCAACAACCTGTGAGCAATAATGATTGCATCACTTCTGGGTAAATGCTTTAACGGCCAGTGCACGATATCCTATCCTCCTCTGTACTGATCATGACAGCATGTATAGAGACTATGTTAGCCTAGTTCCCCAAGTGACTCAGATGAGTGGAGCCTTCCTACCCTCAAAACAGGTAGACAAAATAAACCTCTCTTGTATTGAACTACTAACATTTGAGGATTGTTTATTAGGGTAGCGTAATGTACCATATCTTTACTGATACAAGGATATTTTTGTTTGGTTTATTATTTTTTTGAAATGTGGTCACATTTAGCCATCTTTCCCCTAGAGGTACTGCTTTTGATGTTATGCTGAGAAAGTCCAGGAGGACCGTTCTGATCATTGGCATGCCCAAACATGCGCTGCTGAATGGCCTTTGAGGTAGCGAATTATCTGCATATGAATGTTTTTAATCAGAAGTTATGACTGTATGTCAGGGATGCTGTGTAGTAATATATTATGTGTGTAATCAGAGTAGTAGTTGACCTTTAAGTTTCCTTCTAGCTATTTGGATGTTAATTGTAAAACATAGTTGCTACTCTCAGGGGAACTTGCAAGCTACCTCAATATTTGCAAAGACAAGGTGGAATCTGGGAAAAAGATACTTCCATCTTTTTTCAAATAATCAATAATGAATATGTAGATAAAACAATGCCCAATTTGTACAATAGATATAAATTTGCATGTATATTAAATCTCTGTGTATATTAAAGTTCTATGCTCTATATTAAAGTTCTGTGCTCTTTAGCATCTCTTCAGTGATGTAATTTGGCCCAAATAGTACAAAATAAAAAGTAATACTTTCCTATGTAACTTGAACATATTTCCTATTGACTCTACGTTTTTGTTGTTGTTGATTGAGTTGTTCTATACACCAAGCTACTAAGTAAAGACAGAGATGAGGGATGTGGAATCCTGCTGGGGGATGATTCTTAAAACAGCATTAATTGGAGAGATCAGTATTTCTCACCTGTTCTAACCAGGGTAATGCTTTAAGAAGTTGGTGAAGAGAATAGAGCAAGCTTTGAGCCTATGAACTGCCTCACATCAACGGTTTCCTTTATTCTCCATGCCGCCAAGCGACTCGAGTACAGAGCAAGCTTTGCCACTCAAATGGGTTCCCAGGATTTATTTCCACCTGTGCTTCCCAGCCTCCTCCTTATATTTCCTATGAGTCTTGAATTTTGGGGGAGAAGACTCAATGTATGTAAAAGCAGAAAAAATAATTTGAAAATGTATATTAAAATATTCTTCCTAACTGTGTATTTAGATTCTCTGAAGAAAAGTACAAAAGGATGAGCAATGAAGGAAACTATAACCTTATTAAATTTTGGTTGAGAAAATTTCTGCTACTGAGGATGGCACATATACTTTTGTAAATGATTTTTTCCTTCAGCATAGTAACATTTTGTTCCCATCTCTATCAGCTTTTTCACCCTTGGAACCCAAGTGTGTGTGTGTATGTGTGAGTGTCTGTTGCTCAGAGAAGGTGTGTTGGGGCAGGAGAGAACTCCAATATAATCCTATGCTACCACTGATGTTGCAAATATCTGAACTTGCTCTCAACAGTGAAGATGAGTGGCTAATTTTATGTGTCAGTTTCAAAATGCTAGGAAGAAACATTGTGAAATATATAACAATATTTTCTTCAACATTCACCTTGATTCCCTTCTCAATGCAGTTTTTGAAATTTAGGTATGCAGAAGGCCACTCATCTCTCCTCCCTCTCTCCTCCTCTCTTTTCATTACAGCCCCTCAACTGGGTCTAGCATTCCTCTACACAGAGTTCCTTTGTTAATCTTCACAAATTAAATCTCCTACATTTTGTTGGTGTTTACCCTTTAAATTCATCTTAACTTTGAGAGAAGCTGATGCCATCATTACTCCACAAAGTAAATCAGATTGGTTATTGATTGGCTTTTTCCATTATGGTCTAGAATTTGGCTTTCTGGGGTTTGTCTTCAATACATATTTCTATAGTATAATTGTAGCAGTGTTTTATGAGGAGAAAATATTACATGTGGATTCAAATGGCCTCTTTCTCACAGAGGTTCTCTAGATTCTATTTTAATTTTGATTGACATAGGTTATATAACATTTAACTTTGAGACAAGGGTGCTTGTTTTCCTACATATTGTAGGGAATACATTTACTTGTCATATGAGTGTTATAGGAAATCAAATCTGAGTTTACATCAAATTTGCAAATTAAATCAAGAGACTATAATTTCATTTCTTATTAACTCAACAGATGTAAAAACGAATCAGATTCTCTTGAACTGAGGAAACAACACTTTTTTACCCTCTTTCAAGTACAATAAAAGTTACTCTAAGTATCGATTCTAGTAATAACATTTTAAAAACTGTAAGGAATCTTGACTTTGTCCTCAATGTAGTGGTTCGTCTTCTAACCTCCAGTACTCATGGATTACAGTTTATTCTTCTTTGGAAGATAAAAGGGAAGGAAAATATTGAGTTTTTTTCCTTGATAAATTTGTATTCTGATTTGGGAGATAAAATTATGACATTTACATGTAATTGGGAATTAATTGGATGTGCAACAAATCAGAATAATAGCTTTTCACATATCTGTAATATCTATAGAATTAAGTTAATATATACGTTCACTCATATTTTTATGTCCATGTTTCCATGGTTTAATTACTTAAGTTTAAAAGTGTACAAATTGTATTCATTAAATATTTCCTTTAGATTGTAATCCTTTGAAATCAGCAATATCACTTTTTGCATTTTTTAATTTTCTTAAATAATTCTATGCCTATTCTAAAACAGTGCTAAGAGTGGTACCAATTCATATACATTTAATAAAGTTACAGTTAAATTTTTATATACCTGGAGGCTATAAAGACTAGGTAAAACATTGAATTATAAAAAGAGGGAAAACACATCTAAGAGAAATAAGCAAAAATAAATAAAACAATGTTTATTTAAATATATCTTTTATAAATCCAAAACCATTTGCTTTCATTTGCTTTTCTGAGAGTTAGTTGATGGCCCAACAATCTCCTTCTGATCCTTACCCAGTATCCCAGCCTATAAAAAATTTATACTCAAGTTGGAGACCTTGAAGTGCTGTGTTACACATGAAATAATATACTTATGTTGCTCATGATGGGTTCTACTTGAAAATGGCAAATTAGTTTTAAGAAATTTTTGTTTTAAAGTAAATCATCTTACTGAATTCTTATGCTTTACAAGGTTTTGTTGTAGGTGCCTGAAGAATACAAAAATAAGGCACAGTCCATGTCATTAAGGATTAAAATTTAATTGAGAAACAAAATAGCCACAAATAATGATTTAACTAACAAAGTGCCAAATGAGGACACTACATGAGTTCATATAAAAAGATTATTAATGATACTGCTACTAATAAAGCTAACAAGTATTTATATAGCACATATGTTTAAGCACTATTCTGAACACTTTACATGTATTAATCCATATTAATTTTCATAGTAATCATACGAGGTAGGTACCTATTATGTTCATTTAATAGTTGAGGAAATTGATACATGGAAAGGTTAAGTAACTTACACAAGGTAACACAACTGGTAATATAGCTTGGAATTAAAACCAGAAAAGCAACATTGTAGAACATTAGAGAAGGGTATTCACAGAGTAAAGTGAATTGGAACATGAAACATGTTAATCACCAGAAAGACATGGGATGAGATGCTCAACTTTATGTGAATCAAAGTTTGAAAGTAAACATATGCAAAACTAGGAGGGGGTGGGAGCAAAACGGTGGAATAAAAGGCTCCATCAATCCTTCCCTCCCAAGGACACCAAGTTAACAACTGCCTGCACAGAAAAATCACCTTCCTAAGAATCAGGTGAGCATGTATGGTACCTGGTTTTAACTTCATATTGCTGAAAGAGACACTGAAAAGATAGAAAAAAACAGTCCAGAATTGCGAAGGCCACCTCTCCGTACCCACAGCAGTGGCAGTGTGGTGTGAACAGTGTCCCTGGGCACTGGGGAAGGAAGAACACAGCAATTGTGAGGCATTGAACTCAGTGCTGTCCTGTTAGAGCAGGAAGAAAGACCAGACCAAACTCAGATGATGCCAACCCACGGAGGGAGCATTTAAACAGCCCTAGCCAGAGGGGAATTGCTGATCCCAGGGGTTGGAACTTAAGTGCATGCAAACCTTGCCACTGAGGACTACAGTGTTCTGTGTCTCCAGGTAAACTTGAAAGGTAATCTAGGCCACAAGGACTGCAACTCTAAGGTGAGTCCTAGAGCTGAACTAGGCCCAGGGACAGTGCACCGGGTGGGCATGCAACATATTGAAACACCAGCTCAGACAGCCAAGGGAGTGCCAACATCCCCCGTCCCCTAATCCCAGACTGCACAGCTGGCAGCTCCAAAAGAGACCCCTTCCTTCCAGTTGAGGAGAGAATAGGGAACAGTGGGGAGGACTTTGTCTTACATCTAGGATACCAGCTCAACCACAGTAGGATAGGGCACCGGTCAGAATCATCACCTGTTCTAGGCCCTAGCTCACATTTCTAGACACACCCTGGGCCAGAGGGATATGCAAAACTAGTTCAGATTTGCATGAGCTCAGATATTATATAAGGTGAACATTTAAGTAAGTATGAGGTGAATGTATAATTTCTTTTCCAAACTGGGGCACTTTTAAGAGTGAAAGGAAGGGGCTGTTAACTGTGATGCTTGGACCACAGGCACATCTGTGACTGTTCCATGCAAATGAGACCTATGGTCACCCTCATTATGTCCCTCACTCAGTCAGTAGAGGGACCCTCATAAATTGGTTCTGACAATGGAGATTATGTGATCAGGGCTAGCCTCCCCATATCAGACTGTATAAAATGCAGGAGAGAAAAATAAACTTTAGCTCTATACTCAAGATTGGGCTCAATGTTGTCACTCCAGTGCAATTGTCTCTGACACTGTAACCCCCTGGACTTTGGATTTTGCCTTCTGAGAGCTGTTTTTCTTCTTTTACTCGTCTTGTATTAATGGATTTCTATGGACACAAACTGACTTGCTTGAACTTATGCAATCCACATCATCATTTGGGGTATGTCAACAACTGCAGAACCTGACCTATACTCTGTTTAACTTATGGAACTTGTCAAGACTCTTCCTGCAGAGCCAAAATCCTGTCTTTTCTAGAATCATAGCTACTCTTGCTAGATCTGGCTCTTTACCACCTGTCAATGTGATGATCTTTCTTATACAGTGGAGTTGTTGTACAAAAGTTGGAGTGGGTCCTGCATCGAGTAAGCATATTTTCTGTAGCTGGAGCATGGGGGTCAGACAGAGGGTTATTAGTGGATTTTAAGAGGAAAAATGACAAGATGAAAATCAATGGAATTTCTCAGTAAATGTAAGTTAGACCACAATGAGAGATTGAGAACAGCAAAACCAGCCAGGATGACACATAATTATCTATAAATTAAGTAACAGATACTTACCTCACGGTGACAGCAGTGAGAATCCAAAGGAAAACACAGGTCAAAGAAGTATTGCAAAATAAGAATCCTCATGGCACAATAACTTTTCCAAACCTGAAATATGACTAAGAGTTCTTTAGGTTCTGTGAATCAGTGAATAATCTTAATTTATTTTATGTTAGTTTGGGCAAGGTAGAAAATGCTTGTGTTTCTTCTTTATCCTCCCACAGAATACATACTATTATGTAATTTTCAATGTATTTCAACTGTCTTTTATTCAGAAATACTTTCTCTAGAGCAAATAGTGCATTCGGCTTTTTATATGCAAGGTTTAGCTCACTGGCTGGAACTGGCTGGCACAGGATGGTGTTAAGTGGTGGCTTTGTCAGCATAGTTAGGTTGGAAGTATGTTTCCATGAATTTTCTTCTCTGTATGGCTTCAGGTTTGGATTGGCACAGGAGAGATGGGCATGATGTTTGCATGGTGGAAGTAAAGCAGCAGATATTTTTTATTCCTTGAAGATTGGCACATGAACAGTGGCAGCACACACCTGTTAACAATCTGCTAGCTCACCTTGTAGTATGTGGCAGTTTGTGATAATCAGGTGCTGATGGAAGCAAGCAAGACTTTGAGGGTCCAAGAATATGGCATAGAATAACTTAGTGAAAGTAAGGAGTATAATAAGGCTAGTTGATGCTCTCAAGTGTGGTGGAGAACTTGTGGAAATAAAATTTTAAGCCCAGAGCTTTGAATTCCCAGCTCAATGTCTGGGAAGAATCCAGGAATCTCTCAGACTGCCCTAAAGGAAACCTTTATTTCTTATAACATCATGGCTGAGATTGCTGAATATTGAATACAAAGTCTAAACCTGTACATAGTAATTATTACACAAATTGAATTGTTAATTACACAGGATCTTTTATGTTAAAGTTAGGACATTTGTGTGGAAGGACTAGCATCCTAAAAACTGGATTCACATGTGAAGACTCTAATGAAGCTGACGGTCCAGCTCCTAAATTTTACTGACCCTCTTTTACCAGTAGAAGCCCCCTTTCTATTCCTGTCTGAAGAGATGAGTATTACCTTGCCTGAAGAACCTGAAATGGTCTTCCATTAGGTATGTTCCTTGCAGAGGACTGCTGTTCCTCTTCAAGCCCTATATGTTGTAAACTGAAATATAAAATTCTGAGGTCCCCAACCGTCTGATTGGATCCCTCCTGTCGGCCAAGTGCATTTCTAAGTTAACCTGAAAAACTTGTTCATGTCATGAGGGAAGGGGATTTTGAACATGCCTCATTATACCTTCCTTCCTTCCTTTTGGAATTCAGAAAAAGCTGAATAACATTAACATCAACACAGATCTTAAGTCTGGTAAGAAACATTTACAATCCATTCTGTCTGAAGCCTGCTACTTGGAGACTTCATCTGCATGACAAAACTGTATCATGACCTAGACATTTTTTCCTGTTGATAATAGCTCATTCAACCAATTCCCAATCAGAAAAAAAATTAAATCTACCTATGACCGGGAAGCCCCTGCTTTGAGTTGTCTTGCCCTTCCAAACTAAACCAATGTAAATCTTACATGTATTGATTGATGTATTATGTCTCCCTAAAAGATATAAAAGTAAGCTATATCCTGACCACCTTGGGCACGTGTCATCAGGACCTCCTGAGACTATTTCATGGGCATGTCCTTAGCCTTGGAAAAATAAGCTTTCTAAGTTGATTGAGACCTTTGTCAAATACTTTTGGGTTCACAATGTGAATCTTCCATTGCTTCTTGACTTGTAACCAAACTCAAATCCTAGCAGTGCCTGAGAAAGTAAAGCACAAAATATGACCTATGAGGAGGTATAATATAGAATAGAAGAATTGCAAGGTATGGCCAATGTATGTTGAGAGCAGCCTGGGGAGCAAGTACAGGAATGGATTCTAGGTGTGTTGGAGAAGGGTAGAAAGAGTAAAATATTGTATTGGAATGAATTTGTTAATATGGCTTAACTAAGCAGTAATTCTAGAATCAATGTTAGCTGAGTAACTAGGAGTCTCTCTAACAGTTTTCTTGGTGATTTGATTGAAACCTGTATCCCAAAGCATCCTAGACAAAGTGAAGTTAAAATGCCAAAATTTTCTTGGCATATTTTAAAGGAAGACTTTCAAAAGCTTAGGGAGCTCTGAAGGCTATGATACATTTTCCAAGTAAGACTTACTTATCCATCCCTAATGACATTTCTGGAGGTCCAGAAGACAATTCTTAACCAAAGCAGTGATAGAAACATTTATAAGTAGAGCATCTTTTAAGAGTTCTTTGATGGCTATTCTGTGTCAGCCGAGGATGACAGTGGGACCTGCTGCCATCAAACTGGCTCCCTGAATTAAATAGGGATGATAGGTTGGGGGCTGGTAGTGGCCAAATGGTAGGATTTAATCATCAAAGACAAAGTGGATTTAGTTATGGTAACAGCCATCAGAGCCAAGAAATAACCAGAATTGTCTGCCTACAGAGATCATTGTCATGGCTGAGTTGATCATAGTGTTTCTAGAACTGAAATAGATGAACAGCCTATTAGAGTTTTACTTGATTTATACAAATAAAAAACTCTAATCCTGGAGAACACATGTCTAATATGTATCATCTCAACAGTGAATCCTGGGCTTTCAAAAAAAATTCTGGGTTTAAGCTGGGCCTTGTGGTTCCCACCTGTAATCCCAGTATTTTGGGAGGCCAAGGCTGGTGGATCACCTGAGGTCAGGAGTTTGAGACCAGCCTAGCCAACATGGTGAAACCCCATCTGTACTAAAAATACAAAAATTATCTGGGTGTGGTGGCAGGCATCTGTAATCCCAGCTACTCGGGAGGCTGAAGCAGGAGAATTGCTTGAACTCAGGAGGCAGAGGTTGCAGTGAGCTGAGATCGCACCGTTGCACTCCAGCCCAGGCAAGAGAGTGAGACTAGATCTCAAAAAAAAAAAAAAAAAAAAAAAAATTCTGGATTTAAGCCAGTTTGAAGGGTTGAAACCCATTGAATGATGGGGAGGTAAGGTTTCCTTAAGGAATGACCCTGCTAACAGTCAAAATTTAATCTTTAAATATACCTAGACTTCCTCAAAGGAAGTTGAGGCCATTTATCAGTGGGTTGTGCATAGACAAAGGGAAAATAAACAGCCTTTTTGGGGATGACGATATACATTTTTGGAATTGACACTTTCTTGGAGACCCAAAGTTTCAATGTGGTCCATAAATTAAAGAAGAAAATTATGGAATCCAGGAAATCGAGTTTTGAATTGAGTTCATTTCACAATGAGTCCAGTTGTTACCTCAAACACCTGCATTCATAGCCCTACTTTTGCAATGCATGGTTGAAATAAATATACTCAGAAAGTGGCAGAATCTATACAGTGTTTCCCTGACTCATGAAATGAGGACAATTATGGTAGTGTGTGGGCAGACGTCGAAGGATTTTCCCCAAGAAAACAATCACCTGGTTATTCAATAAAATACTAATATAGGCATTGCCATAAAGAGAATTCTTCAGATGAAATAACCATTCCAAATTAATTGACCTTTAGGTACAGAGAGATTATCTGAGTGGGCTTCATTTAATCTCACCTCCCTTCAAAGCTGAGAGTTTCCTCCAGGTGATGGCCGAAGGTCAAGTCAGAGAGATCTGAAGCAAGGAAGGGATTGGACACATCACTGCTGGTTTGAAGAATGAGGGGGGCACATGATGAATGAAGCAGGCAGGTTCTAGGAGGTGAAAGCAGCCCCTAGCTGATAGCCAACAAGGCAATGAGGACTTTAGTCCTAAACCTATAGGATCTGAATTCTGTCAGTTACAAGAATGAGCCAGGAAGAGGACCCTGAGCTCAAAATGAGAATGCAGCTGGACAACACATTGATTTCACCATGAGCAGAGAACCCATCCATGCCATGCCAGACTAAAGAACTGTGAGCTAATAAGTGGGTGCTGTTTTAAGCCACTAATCTTATGGTAATTTGTTAAGCAGAATAAAAAAACTAATACACGTAGGAAAGTTCAAATGGAGGCCACTCTAATTTTCTCTCTCTATCAGAATTATAAAATAATAATAATACAACATTCCTAAGGGAATTGTAGAATTGTCACTATCAAGGACTTGAACATTGCAAGTGATGATGATTTCTAAAACAACTTCATTCAATTAACTTTTTTGGCCTGTGATGAAAGCAGATGAATATTGATGAAGGGCAGTAGACTATTATAAATTTAATGAGATAGCTCCAATTGTATCTGTTCATCCAGATGTGGTTTCATTGCTATGGCAGATGAACATATCCCCTGGCCCCTGGTATGCAGTTATTTATCTGGCAAATACTTTTATCCTCTGTACCTATTAGTCAAGACCATCAGAAGTAATTTTCTTTTCATTAGCAGAGCCAGCAATACACCTTTACTGTCGTCCTTCAGGGCTATATCAACTCTCTAATCCTATGTCGCAATAGAGTCCACAAGGAACTTCCTCACCTCTGCAGACCACAAGATATCACACTCTTCTCTTACATTGATTGTATCATAAGTGTAACAAAATCTGTAGTTTTCTGATTTAGACACTTAGAGAAAGGGAAATCAATTTCACAAAAATTCACTGCCACCTAATATTCATTTCCTATTGTTCTTGTAACAAATTATGACATACTTGGGGTCTCAAAACGTAAATATGTTATCTCACTGTTCTGGAAGTCAGAAGTGCTATAATTAAGGCATTGTCAGGGCTGCATTTCTTTTGGAGGTTCTAGGGGAAAATATGTTTCTTTGTCTTTCCCAGCTTCAGGAAACTGTTCGTTATCTCATGGTTCCTTCCTCCAGCTTCAAAGTCCACAGTACAGCATCTTCAAATACCTCTGTCTCTATCTCTCCCTGACATTTGCTTCCATTATCATATCTCCTTCTCAGACTAGGACCCTTCTGTCTCCTTTTTATAAGAATCATTATGATTGTATCAGGAACACCTGCATAATATAGTATGATGTCCCCACCTCAAGATAATAACATAATCACATCTGCAAAATTCTTTTTGACAGGTAAGGTAACGTATTCACAGGTTTGGAGGACTGGAATGTGGGCATCCTTGTGGGGGAGCATTAGTTTGTCTACCACACACTTCAACAATTTTTCAGGATCCTTTGGTCTGAGGTAGTCTCCTTTTCAAAGTGAAAGGCAAATTACTGCATCTGCCCTTTTCCACCAATAAGAAATATGCATCATAACTGATGGGCCTCTTTGTATTTTGGAGGAAATGTATATCTCATTTGTGCACTCTACTGCAACCATTTACTGAGAAATCTGAAAAGCTGCTAGCTTTGAACTGAGACAAGGCAAGAAAAAGAAAGCTCTGTAATAGGTCCAGCCTGCCATGTAAGCATCTCTTCTTCTTGGACTATATGACCCATCAGACGCAATGGCACTCGAAGTGTCAGATAGGGAAGGGAAGCATTTGAAAGGCTTTCATATGCAAATCACGTTGCAGACCCTCCAGGATTTTGGAACACAACTATTCTAATCTCTAGAGATAATGCTTATCATTTTGAGAAATTCCTTCTAGCTTTCAACTGGGCTCTTGAGATGACTGAACACTTGGCCATAGACCGTAAAATTTCCATATGACTTAAGATGTCCATTTTTAAATGGGTATTTTCTATACCACCATGCATAAATGTAGGCATACACAGAAGCACTTTATCATAAAATAGAAGAGGGATATACAATCTTGGGCTTAAGTAGATCCTGAAGGCACAGGTAGCTGCATAAGTCAAGTGGCACAGATTTCCACATTCCATATTTATGCTGCATTTCCTCCTCCTCCTCTCAACATGCACCTATAGCCTCATGGGAATTTCTCTATGATGAATTGATTAAAGAAGAAAAAAGGGTACTGGTGAGGCAAAATTCTTTCAGTGGGCATAACATCAAGCAGTGCACCTAAATTTTGCCTAGAAGGAGACATTGCCAGAGGTATGAATCTACACTGATTCATACAACATATCAAATTGGTTGGCTAGATAATCAGAGATTAAAAAGAAATTGGAATTGGAATTGGTGACAAGAAAACTTGAGTAACAGTTATGTTGATACACCTTTCCAAATTAGTAGAATTTGTGAAGATATTTGTGTCTTGTGTAAATGTTCACAAAAGAGCAGCTGTAGCAGGGGAGGATGTTAGTAATAACTGAGTAGACAAAAAAAGCTATTCTGTGGACATCAGTCAGTCTCTCTACCTAGCTCCCTCTGTCCTTACCTAATGGGCTCATGAACAAAGTGGCCAGCATGGCAGAGGGGAAGGTTATGCATGAGCTTTCATTTATCTAAGCTGATTTGGTTACAGTCTTTGCTGAGTGCTCAGCCTGCCAACAGCAGAGACCAACACTAAGCCCTTAATATGGTACTCTTCTCCTGGAGGCAGATAGATTGCATTACACAATTTCCATAACCAAGAGGCAGTAATTTGTCCTTACTGGAAAAGACACTTACTCTGCATATAGGTTTTTCTTCTGTTCCCTCAATGTTTCTGCCCAAACAATTCACAGATTTACAGAATGCCCCATTCATAAAATTGTATTCCAGAGTATTGCTTCTGGTTAAGGAACTCATTTCATATCATATAAAGTCCAACAAAGAACCCATGCTTGCAAAATTTATGATTTACCATACTCTCCATCTCCCTGAAGCAGCAGGCCTAACAGAATGGTAGAAGGGCTTTCTGAAGACTCAGTTATGGTGCCAATTGGTGAGAACACCATTCAGTGATTAAATAACATCCTCCAGGATATAGTTTTGCACTAAATCAGCATCTAATATACGGTCCTGTTTCTCCCATAGCCAAAATTAATGGGTCTGGATCTAAGGGAAAGCAATAGCAATGGCTCCTCTCACTCTCATACCTTTGAATCAACAAACAAGTTTTCTTCTCTTCCCCACTGCATTGGGCTCTATTAGTGTTAAAGTCCTAATTCCCAAGGGAGAAACGCTTATAGCAAAAGACACACAATGTCTCCAATAAACTGGAAGCTAAGAATATCACCTGGACACTTTGGTCTCCATATACCAGTGAATCAACAACAAAGCAGTTTGCTATACTAGCTGTGGTGATTTATCTGAACATAGGGACAAATGTCATAATTACTACACAATGGTGATAATAAGGAACAGGTCTAAATACAGGAAATTCTCTGCAATGTCTCTTAGTTCTCTCATATCCTCTAATCAAAGTCAATTAAAAATTACTACAATCCAGTATAGGCAGGACTCCTAACAACCCAAGCCCTTAAGGAATGAGATCACCCTACCAAGCAAGAAATTGCAAGTGACTCAGGGCTGCTGAGGACAAAGGGAATATAAAATGAGTAGTAGAAGATCCTAAAAACCATACTTAATCAGGTGACCAGATACAGCAATGAGGATGAAAATAGCTATGAGTGTATCTTTCTTGTTTTGATATGAATATATTTTTATATTTCTATATTGTATATTTCCTATATTCTATATTTTGATAGCTCCCTATTTTAATTACAGCACATCAAAGGTTGTTAGATGGTATGTCGGAATCAGACAAGGAATGAACATCACCCACAAATGAACAAAGGGCTTTGAATCCTCTTTTGGGGAAAGTAATGGCATATTTTCCATTTTCTGAGTGATGGTTACAAAAAATTAGGTAAAGCATGATTTTCCTCTTTTCCTTATTTGGAATTTAAGCGTGATGAAAAGAGGAGCATGTGGATGCCAAGCTAGTAAGGAGTGGATTCTTTCTGGTGGCTCTGCATGCTTTCAAACTAGTTAAGCTGAAACTACTTTTACAATTCCCTTCCTTGTCCACTACTAGATTAGGTTTAGTGACAAGAGAAATGTGTTCAGTATTTGGAGAGCAGACATGAAGCAGCAACCACTTTTGTGCCCTGAAGCCTGGCGTACGACACTGGGAACAATGACAACTCATGGGTTTTGCTGCTGATCTGCTGGCTCACCTTATGCGTGTGCTGTATCACCCAGACTTGCAACTTGTCCAGCTCCTGGCATGTATCCTTCTTGAGCTCCTCAGTTCTGGGCTAGGTGTGTATGTGAACCCATAGTAAAAGGCATCAGGCTGTCCTGAAAATCATCCATTCATCTACATCACTACAGTGAAGGGCAATGAGATAAGGATATAAGTTCCAGGTGGTCCTCATGGATACCAGTTTGTCTGAACTGGTGAGTTCTAGTTTAAGTTTCTTCTCCACAACCTCCTTTCTGATTACTGACCTGGTTAGCCTATGGTGGCTTTAACCCAAAACTAAACTCAGAGGTGACAGGCTTGCATAGCCTTCACCACTGACACCAATTATAGCATAAAACATAGTTTTTATAAGTCCTTTATATCATTCACAGAGTTTCTGCTTCTCTAATCAAACCCTGACTGCCACATTTTTATCAACGTTTGGTGAATGAATCAATAAAATATGACTGTAGAACTCCTAACCTGACTTTGAAGATAACACTTGTTATATTCTATCCAGAAAATGGAAACACAGGAAATGTACTGGGAAAGAGAATAAAGGTGTCAATCAGAAACCACAGTGGTTAGTCAGAATGAAGGGCCATACAGTGCATAAATGTGCACATGGAATTGAAACTTAGGAATGTTGAGATTCTCAGGGCCAATTGTGGGTCTGGAAAAAGAATATCTTCATCATTCCATGTTGAGTCAGTAGGACTCAGAAGCAGGAAGAAGATACCACTAGCTACTAATGGGACACTTTGAGAAACAATAATGAGGATAATCTCAATAGATTAAGACATTTGAATATGTTTAAACTTATAAGTACATGAGAATACAGACAACAACAAGATATTGTTCAGTATTGGAGGATGCTAGGAAACAAACTAATTACTTTGAAAACGTGTATAAAAGGAAATGGTCCAACATTTTAACCTGCCATTCCTATGTAGTCTGTACTTTTGGCTAACTAAATAACAGAATGGAAGGATAATTCTTTATGATAGTTTTTTGCTAATAAATGAAGAAAAATTAATAGATGTAGAATATTACTCTTTTAAATCCCTAATGAATTAATACAAAGGCATTCATGGTTAACAGCTGCTGACATTACAACAAGAGGGTACATCTTGTTGAAACACACACCACCACTGATAAAATGTTCTAGCTAAAGGCAATTTATACCAACTACCAATAAAGAGTAAATAATTAGTAAGTGAATTAAAACTGCAGTTATTTTTATAAAATCTGTAAACGTAAATTTACAAGAATTTATAAATTATAAATTTATTTTTAAAACTAATAAATAGTGATTAAAAAACACAAAAATATATGGGAATGAACTCAGTAAAATAGAAAATCTAGAAAACTCTGTGGAACAAATGACCCAGTCAGTTTCTTCAACACATCAATTTAAAAAAAGAAATAAATTGAGAGATGAAGGGGAAACCTATAGATTAAGAGAGACAATGTAAAGTTACTAAAATCATTGACGACTATACTTAAACTCAGTAAATGTTATGGTGTGTTAATTGCACCTGTGTGTGTTTTTTTTAAAGAGAAACTTAAACATTATACTAATCAATGAACTGATCTTATTTTTATCTTGATCCAATCAAACAACTGTTAGCCAAAATTGCTATTTAGGATACAATTAGAAATGTAAACATTTACAAGATATTTGATGGTATTAAGGAATTCTCAATTTTATTCTATGTGATAATGTATTGCAGTCAGGTTAAAAAAGAAAAATGAAGATCCCTTATCTTGTAGCGATGTACATTGAAAAATGAAATGAAAACAAAAAAGTTGATTTCCAAAATTTAAAGCCTACATAACTGTGTTTTGCAGTTCCAGAATATCATGGAGAGGGGGTGCAAAGTGGCATTGATCTGTAAGAGGTTTCAGCAGGAAAGTTTCTTTTCTGGGGCTTAACAGGGATGCTCAGATTTTTGCCTGAAATTTTACTAACACTCCAGTAGGAAAATGCAGTTCTTGCTATGCTGGCTCAGTTTTGATGTCCCACGACCTCTGCCCGAAGGAACTATTCCCAGCTGGTAAATGCAAAGATCCACTGCAAGTTCAAAAAAGCATAATTTAAAAATATACACACATCACCCTAAATAGAGACATAGATCAAATACACATTAGAGAAAATAAATGTATGGTTCATTTAGAGTCATCTTATTTTCTCTTAGAAACATTTTCCTAATTAGAATAATTGCTAGGCTATTTACAGTCACTTAATTTTCACATTTTTTGAAATTTATTTTAAATAGAATGCAAATTTTGTTAAGAGGCAGTTATTCCCTAGACGCTTAGAAAATGTATATATTTTAATGTACCTGGTGATGCATGATTGGAACTGCATAACTGTGACTGAATTTATATTAAAGAAGTAGGCAATTTTATGATCATTATTAATGGTTGTAGCTGTGCAGGCAAAGACAATGATATGGGTAATTGAATCTCATGCTTCAGAGCACAAAGTGATTGCTGTGAAGAAATCAGGGGAAAATGTCTTGCCCCATGTAGAGCATTACACATTTGAAGACTTAGGTAGAGGAGGATGAGGAAAGATCACCTTTTCCTGAGGTATAAGGGATTTAGTGCAGTGGAACATCTCATTGAGTAAAACAATGGCTTTGGTCCTGAATTAAAATTCATCACAAGTTCCATTCAACCTACACATTCTGTGAGACTATGGGTAGGGTCATGTCAAACCTATGGTTATGTGAGTGAGTGTCAGCTCTTTTCTGGCACATTGAGCAGGAAAAAGGAACAGTGGTCTGAAAGATACATAGAAAGAAAGGGAGGAAGGAAAGGAGGGAGAGAAGTAGGGAAGGAGGAAGAAAGACCACCTTTGAAGTTACAGTACCAAACAAAACTAAGAAATGGGTTCTGAGCCAAAGGTGCTGGGATTGCCAAATATAAACAAAACCAAGACTTTTGGTCGTTTCATAAAGAACCATTATTAGGCAAAACTTGAATTTTCAAAGGAAACTTTGACCTGTGGCAGCTCCTATGGAACCACACCTTACCTTTGATTCCTTGCAGCAAGGCAGTTCATACATGCACTACTAGAGCATATGGCCATTCTTTCTTCTCAGAAAGCTCAATAAATAGACAAAATGTTTACATGGATTCCATGCACTCAATGAACACTTTTGAAACGGGCACTGATCCTGCATGCTGCAGGGGGAAAAGTATGGAAAGATCACCCTCAACTTCCCTCTGTGCCCTTATTATTATTACTATTTTTTTCCCATAGAAAGTGAGGAGCCTTTTGAGAAGTGTCTGTTCATATCCTTCACCCACTTTTTGATGGGGTTGTTTTTTTCTTGTAAATTTGTTTAAGTTCTTTGTAGATTCTGGATATTAGCGCTTTGTCAGATGGATAGACTTCAAAAATTTTCTCCCATTCTCTAGGGTGCCTGTTCACTCTGATGATAGTTTCTTTTGCTGTGCAGAGGCTCTTTAGTTTACTTAGATCCCATTTGTCAATTTTGGCTTTTGTTTCCATTGCTTTTGGTGTTTTAGTCATGAAGTCCTTGCCCATGCCTATGTCCTGAATGGTATTGCCTAGATTTTCTTCTAGGGGATTTATGGTTTTAGGTCTTATGTTTAAGTCTTTAATCCATCTTCAGTTAATTTTTGTATAAGGTGTAAGGAAGGGATCCAGTTTCTGTTTTCTGCATATGCGGCCAGCAAACATGAAGAAAAGCTCATCATCACTGTTCATTACAGAAACGCAAATCAAAACCACAATGAGATACCATCTCTTGCCAGTTAGAATGGCCATCATTAAAATGTCAGGAAACAACAGATGCTGGAGAGGATGTGGAGATATAGGAAAGCTCTAACACTGTTGGTGGGAGTGTACATTAGTTCAACTATTGTGGAAGACAGTGTGGCAATTCCTCAAGGATCTAGAACCAGAAATACCATTTGACCTAGCAATCCCATTACTGGGTATATACCCAAAGGATTATAAATCATTCTACTGTAAAGACACATGCACACATATGTTTATTGCAGCACTGTTCATAATAGCAAAGACTTGGAACCAACCAAAATGCCCATCAATGATAGACTAGATAAAGAAAATGTGGCACATATACATCATGGAATACTAAGCAGCCATAAAAAAGGATGAGTTCATGTTCTTTGCAGGGACATGGACGAAGCTGGAAACCATCATTCTCAGCAAATTAACACAGGAACAGAAAACCAAACACCGCATGTTCTCACTCATAAGTGGGAGTTGAACAATGAGAACACATGGACACATGGAGGGAGACATCACACACAAAGGCCTGTCAGGGGTGGGGGGCTGGGGGGTGATAGCATTAGGAGAAATACCTAATGTAGATGACGGGTTGATTGGTGCAGCAAACAACCATGGCACGTGTATACCTGTGTAACAAACCTGCACGTTCTGCACATGTGTCCCAGAACTTAAAGTATAACAATAATAATAACAATAAAAGTGAAGAGCCTTTCCAGTAGCAAGTCAACTTTAAACCACAAATCCAAAGCCAAGTTGTTATATCAGGTTTATTAATAAATATGACATTTTAATTCATCCACTTATCTGTGCCTTATTTCTTTTCATGGATTCTAACATTGGGAAGGGGAAAAAGGATACCCTAAATTCCCAATGCTGAGGTCTAGAAAAAAATAATAGTGATCAATCTAGTGTTCTCATTGTATCACTGTGCACCTCACAGTTTAGTTTTACAGACCATTCTTTGATTTCATAGCTCAGGCACCATGCTGTCTGTGAAGTATGTTCTGGACCCCACACCTCACTCGGTTGGGTTAAGGGGTTAAAATCTAAATTGAGTGAAAAACTTGGATTAGGTCTGAGATTTCTCTGGCTTCCTCTGCTTCTCTCTGCTGCAGTACTTAGTGCATTTTATTAAAACTGACTGTTTACTTTTCTTATTTGTCACCCCTGCTAGAGAGTGAATTCCTTTCCAACAGAGACAAGTTTGCATATTTGTATTTTCAGCTTCTAATACAGTGCTTGCCTTCAGAGAGGATTTGCTGAATCAAAATGAATTTCCAAGGCCCGGCATGGTGACTCACACCTGTAATCCCAGCACTTAGGGAGGTCGAGGCAGGTGGATCACTTGAGGTCAGGAGTTCGAGACGAGCCTGGCCAAAATGGTGAAACCCCGTCTCTACTAAAAACACAAAAATTAGCCGGGAGGTGGTGCGTGCTTATAGTCCCAGCTACTTGGGAGGCTGAGGCAGGGGAATTGCTTGAACCCGGGAGGCAGAGGTTGCAGTGAGCAGAGATTACACTACTGCACTCCAGCCTGGGTGACAGAAGGAGACTCCGTCACACACAAAAAAAAGTTTTCCCCTTAAACTTATTTGTCTAAAATCTGACTACCCATCATATTTGATGTGATATCTGGATTTCATGTTTGATGTTACATGCTGCTCACCAGGAAGAACTACTAAATACGTTGTTCTTACCATATCAGAAAGCTGCAGAGGATATTCTCTCTTGTTTTTCTCTTTCTAAGAAAGAGGTTAAGGACACTTGGTGGCTCCAGAAGTCTCTGTGAGAATCATAATACTCCTAACCGGAAAGCTCCTTAGCCTTTGGAATTAATCGTCCACCCATGGGATTTCAGTCTTAGCCTCCCTCTTTTTCTTGGTCCCTTAGGCTGACGTCCTGGTTTAAGATGCTGGCTTATCATGATATCTTGTTAAAGGCATATTCTGTTCTTTTTCTTCTCCAAGGGGAGGGTGTAGGAAAGGGTCCTAGATTATAAGGGGCATGCCTAACTAGCTCTCAGATCAAATCCTTTAAGTCTTGAGGATAAGATTCTTCTTGAAGGGAATAAGATGCACTCTTTGATTCTTCATCTCTGAAATGATGGAAGTGAAACTAGAAATTGTTTACAGTTCCAAGATTTAAAAAATAAAGAGTTTATTTCTAAGATGACTTTCTTAACTTATTCAGTTAACATACATCTCCTTTCTCTAAAGTCCTAAAGCAGTTAATATTCCATACTCCACAATTTCTCAGTTGATTACATATATTGTTTGGTAATGTTCACTAATTATCTCTTGTATAAAAATCTTGTTACTGTAAATAGATTGTACAGTCTTTGAGTTTAGGAAAAACATCCTTTGCTTCCTCTTATTCCCTACATATCAGTTCTTCCTTTTGCTCTTTTTCTCTGTACCTAGGTAACTGCCTAATCTCTTTGTCCTTTCCTCTAGATTTAACAGAGCAATGTTTAGAGTTCTTTATAGCTTACAAAATATTTTCTCCCATATTAGACATTTGGTTCTCATCTAAATCCTGGGAATTAAGCATTCAATTATCCTCATTTTCTTTTTTTTTGTAAACTAGGAAGCTGAAGTTTAGGGTTTTCTTCCCCTTATGTCTGTTTACCTAGTTAGATGATAGAGCCAGAACTGGAGGTTGAACTAGATTCTTTCCCTTTAAAGTTTTGTTCTTACTATTTATCTTGCTTTATGGTAAAAAGGAAATAGCAACAAAGACAAGAAAAAGAAAAATAATATATAAGGCATCAAATTTTTTTACTATATATTACATTTTTGTGACTAAGTGGAAGTGGTGCTATAAAATCGGACAAGGGTTTTCATTGAAGACTTAAGGAATACAGAAGGAATGTATGGAGCACTTATGAGTATGGAGCAGAATTTAGACACCATTCTCACCTTTAAGGTGACACTAGTGGTACAGGACAATAACATTTCAACCCACCACCAACATAATGTGAATGTGATAACCTTTCTTTTTCTCAGGACTCCACTATTTAGCACACAGTTGTGTAACATACGAGAGGAGAAAAAGGCTTCTGAGAGACAAAAAATAACTTGCAAAAATTGCTGGCCCTAAAGATCCTATCTTTTTTTTGTTTCATAAAGTAGTTTTTAATGCCCTAACTCACAGCCTACTTGCTTACATTTAGCTTTGCCACACCTTTCATTACCTGGGGTTTCCTATCCCACAGTAGAATAGAAATAAGCAGGATAGTAAAACTGTAGGAAGCACTGGTAGAAATTGGCATGGTGGTTAGCGGCAAGAATCGATTGCATAACAGTAAAGAATAGGAGAAGAAACAATATAAAGATAATTTGTAACTCCCATAGTTCAGAATTTTTCACAAAAGGGCAGCACTGTTAGAGCCCCACACATCTTTTGTGGAGCTGAAGTTATTCACTCAGTCATGTATCCATTTATCCGTTCACTAATTTAGCAAGTATTGAAGTGCCAGGCACTACAGCAATTCTGCATATATGAAGATGGGCATATATTCTGCTTCCATGGTGCTCAGAATTTACTGTGGGGCAAAAAGTAAGTAAACCAAAAATTATAAAAAAGTTAGGGAAAAATGGTTAAATATAAGAAGAATATGGTGTGAAGGCCCTGGGTGAATTTAACCCAGCCGGTGGAGAGGAGGGAAGGGAGATGGGCAGGGAAATTGGTAGCAGAATGTGTTGTGAGGAAAGGAAATCAATTAGGAGAAAGGTCACAAAGGGGAAGCTCAAGCTAAACCATGGTAGCAACAGCATCTAATCTGTGTAAATAGCTAAATGGGAATAAAAGGGGAGAGTGATGTAGGCGATACAATTCTTCTCAGTATTGTCTTCTAGAATTTGTCTTTGTGGAATCTTTCAACCATGAGGAAGTAACTATATTAATAATGTTTTGTATCATCTATAAAGACTGAAACAGAATTGGCCACCTGGGTAGTATAATTTTTGAAGTCTAACAGTAGTTTTGCCTCTGTCTGAAATCTCAATGGTAATGCTTTCTTAAAGCATTAAAAGCCTTTGTTCAGATTCATTATTATTTGGTAGGTTTAACATATCCATCTAGAAATGGTAGTTAAGCCAACCACTAATTTATCAGAGCCCTAAGGTGAAGAAATGGCTAGCAGGCATGTGTTGGTTAGGATGTGTATGTGGGTGGCTGTTGTTGTGGGGAGAGTTATCACTCAGGAAAGAAAAGGTGGGATTCTTTATCAAGGATGTTACTAACTTCTCTTAGGAGTTCTAAGCAAATATAAGGACTTGGGGTGACCAGTAGGGAGCTAGGGGTGACAACAAAAAAGAAAGATCCAGAAAAGAGAAAAGTTGAAGGGTCAACATGAACCAGAACACATACAATAGGAGTATGTGTGCCTCTTTCAGTCAGGAGTCCAGATGAATCCATGGCACTGGAACTGAAACCACAGTCCACACCTCTTACAGCACTTCACTACCATTAGCAAGAGTAAAGGGGCAGCCACAAAAACTGAAGAAAAGAGTGAAGAGGGAGGCTTTGCAACCCTGTCCAACAAGTAGGTATTATTTCTATGAGCTATCTCGAGAAACGCCGGTCCTCTTGGTCATATCTCATCTCCAAACTGTGCTCTCAGAAGGATCTGTGCATTCTGCCTTCCTATGCTACTTCTTCCCAACTTTTGAGCCCCTTCCACTGTGCCTTCTGGAATTCAAAATCATGACTAGCAAAAATCCCATCCCCTCAGCCTTCTCTCTGAAATTTCTTTTACCCTAGTTTTCTAAGGAAGGTTTTCTCGACATCAACACTATTGACATTTTGGGTCAGATAATTCTTTGTTGTGGGTGGCTGTCCTGTACTTTGTGGGATATTCCACAGTATCCCTGACCTATATCCACTAGATGCCAGTAGCTCTTCCACCCCAGTTTGCTAAATGACCTGGTGGAGGGAATGCCATGTGGTTTAAAATCACTCCCCACTGAATACCACTATGCTAATGGCACTAGCCTGTGCCCAAGGACATAGCTTTTCTTAAAACCTTCTCAAGATATGACTGGTTTTGTTTCTTCTATCAGCCCTCCTACAATTGGGAATGAAATGGGGTAGGCAACCATTTTGCTGCTTACTGTCACATCGGACCACTTTCCTTTCTTCTCTCCCTACTTCCCAAACATTTTAGCTTGAAATATCATGTCATCAGATTACATCATCCTCTACTTTTCATTTTGGTATTATCTTCTGATTTTTTATTATTCTCCCATCATTTTTTGATTTTTTTTCAGCTCCTGGCTTCCTATATTAATTATTTTCAATTGTAGAACACATAAAAATGATTCTTCCAACACCCTGACCCTCAGGTTCTTGGATTCCTTTCCACCACTCTACAGCAGCCTCTCTCACCATGGACGTATCCTAGACATTGTAACTACTAATACCTACAACTCCTCCCTCCATGAGTTTAATTCCATGCTGCTTGTTCTAATCTTTCCAATCCATTCATTCAGCTTCACTGAATTATTTCTGGCCCTCTGAGAAGCACACGTAGAGATACGATTAGAAGTACAGGAGATTTACTTGGGAAAAATGTCAATGAAGAAAGATGGGAAGGAAGGTGGTTGATGTTGGCAGAACCTTCAGATGTTAGTGCAGGCCCTGTGGAGGAGAAAGGGAAGGATAAAAGTTTGGATAGGAAAAGTCTTTGATTGCAATGAAGTTTTAAGACAGTTTTTGCAGGTCTGATTGGGGGTCCTTTAGCCAAAGTTGCCCATTGGAAACTCCTGCATCTTCCGGGAATGAATCTGCCTTAATATCCCTCCTGTACTCAGTTGTTGGTATGGATATAATTTGGGGAAGTTTGACCTTGCCAAAAACGTAATGATAGATTTCAAAACTCACAAACTGGCAACATTGGGTAATTATACTCCCTGTACTTGGAGATCTGAGGGGTGGTTACTCATGGCCACCACAGATCCCTATCCCAACAATCCTCATTGTCCTTTTCTCCATCCCTACCTGGAAACTCTAACCCACTTATCTACCCTCTTTAACTGTCTTTTGATGTTCCCTCTTCCTTCTAATCCAATTTAAATTACATGGCTAATAATTATACTAACTTCTTTGTATAACCGCCTTCTCCTCTCTTGCTTCTTTATACTTGACTATTAAACTACAACTATAGTTAATACCAAATCTCTACCTATGGCTACTCCCACACAATTGGATAAGGCTGGAGAAACACACACACACACACACACACACACACACACACACACACACACACACAAACACACAGAATGTATCCTTCATCTTCACCTAGCTGATGACCTTGCTTCCTATTTTCTTACTTTCCAAAGCAAACTGAAACACTCAGAAGAGAGCTTCCACAGATGCCCACAACTATATCACTCCTTACCTTCCTGTGTCATGTTCCTCTCTATGTTCCTCTCTATGTTCAGTCCCTCTATCCTTTAATCCTCCCCTCTCTCCCCTGAAACACCATTTTTTATCCTCTGCCCTGGAACATTCCTGTCACCATACAAAATTCTGTTTTGTCTGTCTTTGAAAAACAAACAAAAATTATCTTTTATATCTACATGAATTTCCTTGGTGATCTCATTCAATCTCATAGCTTTATGTTTCATTGAAATACCACTGACTCAAAAACTTAAATGTCTAGTCCAGTCCTCTTCACTGCATTCCAGACTTGTCCAACCAGCAGTTAGTTAATATCTCCACATGTGTGTCTAGTAGACATCTCACACTCAATAATGGCAGCAGTGAAGCCTTCACCTACTTTCCAGACACTTGCTCTGCTCCAGCTTAATTGATACAATCCTATCTTTCAAAGAAATCTGAGTTGTCTTTGATTCTTCTTTACTCCCTATGTCTGAACTATCAGGAAATCCTTTTATCTCTATCTTCAAAACATCCACAATGCAACCACTTCTCACCACCCTACCGAGACCTCTCAGGTTTCAACACTTCCATATCTTACCCAGATTATTGCTGTAGCTTGCTAAATGGTCTACCTGTTTCTATATTTGTTCATAGTCAATTCTTAACATGAAAATGTGATTTTTAAAAAACAAATTTAAATTCTGTAACCTCTTCAAACTATTGCAGTCACTTCTTAAGGCAGACAGAAAAAAGCTAATGTCTTTGCAGGGGCCTATACTCCTTATATAACCTACCGACCTCAAGCCCCCATTACTTCCCTGCCTTCAAATCTCCCTTTTTACTCTACTGCAGCCATTTTGGTATTTTTGTTATTCCTTGAACATGTCAAGGAATAATTTCCTCCTTAGGCCTTTGACTTTTCCCCTGCCCGATGCCTCATCTCTCAGATACTCACTTCCTTTATTTTATTTTTTTTTCTTTTTTGTTTTTTTGAGACAGAGTTTTACTCTTGTTGCCCAGGCTGGAGTGCAGTGGCACGATCTCAATTCACTGCAACCTCCATCTCCTGGGTTCAAGCGATTCTCCTGCCTCAGCCTCCCTAGTAGCTGGGATTACAGGCACCTGCCACCATGCCTGGCTGATTTTTGTATTTTTAGTAGAGACGGGGTTTCACCATGTTGGCCAGGCTAGTCTCAAACTCTTGGTCTCAAGTGATCCACCTGCCACAGCCTCCCAAAGTGCTGGGATTACAGGTGTGAGCCACCATGCCCGGCCCCCACTTTCTTTAATTCATTGCTCAAATGTTACCTTTCAATGTGACCTACCAAGCCACTCTTTTTAAAATTGCAGTCACCCCCTCCAACTGCCCAATTCTTCCTCGTTTTGCTGTAGTTATTCTTTTTTTTCCTATAGCACACATCACAGTCTAATATGCTATATAACTCATTTATTATGTTTATCATATATTTTTTATCTCCCTCTGGCTAAAATGCAAACTCTATGCTAGTAGCCATCATCTTCACTGATGTATCCCAAACACTTTGAACATTACCCAGTAAATAGTAGGGTTTAATAAGTATTTGTTGAATTAACAATGAATGAATGATAAACTGAATTTGGTAGACTTGTACATTTTGCCTCATTTCATGCCTCCCTCTGATGGAGGTGGCTGTAAATTAGGCATCTTTTATAGCTTGCCTTAAGGCTCTGTGAAAGCTTTAGTCATTCACATATTCATTGAGTATCAACTAAAAGTGTGGCATTGTTCTGATGAATATAAATAATTGACAATAGAATCTTGCTAAGACTAAGCAAAATGAGCATATTTTTTTCTCTGTCTTCCAAGAGAAACAGTATCCACTCAGATGGCTAAAGAAGATAGATTTCTATCTGGAAGAAATTTGCTGATTTTAAACCACTCTTCATAGCTCTACAAATCCTTCACTTCATCATTCATTTGCTATTTATTGTAAGCCCACTATGGGCTAAGTATTTTGACTTTTAAGCAATCCTAACCTCAGGCTGGTGTTGGGATCAGGGCTAGAGACATGGAGGAACAGATACATGATTTTCTCCTGGGCATCCATTTATGCCAATGTGATTAATTCCACAACAAACAAAAATCGTAGCACATGACAAAAAACCTATGTTCAACAGGCAAAAATACTCCTCTCCAAAAGACTATCTGGCAGGTACAAGCTTAAAGGTAAAAGAACATAAGCCACATCTTTTGTCCAGATGCAATTTTGGGAGCTGCTCCCCTACCTTACGTCCCTGGAGGAAAACACTACAATATATCTTCTGGTGATGATTTGGGTAGCCTGGTCCAACATTGTAAGCTATTTTGAAGTATGCTGTTTTAAATTTGGTATGTTTGAAAGTGATTAGATAAGTTTAGTATATTGAGGTCAATGAATTATTAATTATGTATTCTTTTTAAATGTTGTAAGAGCTATACCTACACCTTCACTCCCTCCACCCCACCTTCTCATACCCTTAAGTTGGCTGTTTAAAGTGTGATTTAATTGTTTGAAGTAATTAAAGTATAAAAATACTCTTTATATTTTAAACTGATAAAAGCACTTTTACACAGACACATGTAAAAGTACTCATTTCCCCCATATAATTGCCAGTACTTGAGAGTATCAAACTTAAATTTTTCTATTTATTAACCTTCAGGCATAAAACAATACCTATTGCTACAATTCATTCTAACTTGATAAGTAGTGTGAAATAAGCCCCCCCCCTTTTCAGGCATTAAGTGAGGTAAGAAAAAAATTACTCTGTTTAAGTTAGTCCATGTTAATTAAAAGGGAACTCTGAAGTAAATTAGTTAAATTTAAGTATATTTTGCTGGTGAAAAATCTATGTTGTAAATTGCTTCTCTTTGTTGATAAGAAATGTCAAGGTTACAGACTATTTATTACTCAGAGAGCTAAACAGAGAATGTGCCTGATAAATAATGAGATTGAGAGAAAGTAAAACAGAAAAGTTGATTTATAATTATAGTTGACAGATTTCTTGTACGAGGGTTTTACTTTCAAGCAATGTATGTAAAGAGACAGAGTCTCTTGGTATTCACGTTTTACTCTTCATTCATGTACTATGAAACTTGCTTTTGAAAATTTTCTCATGTTTCACGAAGCATGCTTGAAAATTATGAAGTCATAAACCATAACTGGTCTAAGAGCTAATACAATTTCATGAATGGGACTTCTTTAAAAATTTACCTACAACTAAAATTATAAAACTCAGCCACAATATCTCCAAAACTACGAAACATCAAAACAGTGCCTGTAGGCCGGGTGTGGTGGCTCACGCGTGTAATCCCAGCATTTTGGGAGGCCCATGGTGGGCGGATCACGAGGTCAGGAGTTCGAGATCATCCTGGCTAACACGGTGAAACCCCATCTCGACTAAAAATACAAAAAAATCAGCTGGGTATGGTGGCACTTGCCTGTAGTCTCAGCTACTCGGGAGGCTGAGGCAGGAGAATCACTTGAACCTGGGAGGCAGAGGTTGCAGTGAGCCGAGATGGCGCCACTGCACTCCAGCCTGGGTGACAGAGCAAGATTCTGTCTCCAAACAACAACAACAACAAAAAAAAACAGTGCCAGTATTTTTAGATGACTTCCTTAATAAACCATCTTTGTTTTACAAAAATATAATTATAAAGAAGGTGCTTTCAACAGCATCAAAACTTAAATATAACATAAAATCTTGCCTAACTTTGAAACTAATGAGACTTAGCATCTTTTCAGATATTCATTGAATATCCCTTCTACATAAAATTTTTTAATGTAGCCTTTACCTAAGTTGTCAGCTTTTTTCCTATTTGATTTGCATGAATTCTTTATACTTTTCAGTATTAATTATTTGTTGGCTGTATGCATTGTAAATGTCTTATTCCTCTATGTGATTCACTTTTACTTTTGTTTACTATAACTTTCCTCAATCTAAAAAAGACCCTTTATAAAAACTTACAGCTACTGTCATATTTAATAGGTAAAAAATGCCTACCTTCCCTTTAAGATGGGAAAAAGGCAAAAATGTCTGCTCTCACCACTCTTATCATGTTTGAAATCCTAGTCAATGCAATAAATCAAGAAAAATAATACAAGATATATAGACTTAAATGAAAGAAGTAAACTATCCCTATTCATAGACAATATGATTGCCTATATAAAATTACTATGGAAGCTACAAATAATTATGGGATAAGTGATTATAGAAATGTTTCAGGATATAAGATCAACATACAAATATGAACTATATGTCTATATTATAGCAATAAACAGTTGGAAACTAAAACAAAAACAATGATACAACTCATAATAGCTTTAAAATGTGAAATATTTAGGTAATAACAATATATGTACAGATTTTCATGCTGAAAATAACTAAATGATGCTGAAATAAATAAATAACGGCCTAGATAAATGGAGAGGTATTTCATGTTCACACATTGGAAGTCTCACTATAGTAATGAGGTTATTTTTTTCCAGATTGATTTATAACTACAAAAAAATCTAAAATCAAACTCCCAGGAGTATACATTTTATAGACAAATAAAGCTGGTTCTAAACTTTATATGGAAAATCAAATAAACTGGAACAACCAAGAGGATTTTTACAAAGAATTAGATTGGAAGTCACACATACTCAGACATTAAGATTTATTATAAAGCTATAGTAATAATCAATACAGGATGGCAGTGGTGAAAGTACAGGCACACAGATAAATGGAACAGAAGAGAAAGTCCAGAAATAAACCTATGCATGCATGTTCAACTAGCTTTTGATAAAGGAACAAATGTAATTCCATGGAGAAAGTCATCTTTTCAATAAGCAGTGCTGGAACTATTGAACATCCATATGTAAAAAATAAATAACAAATTTCCATGTCATACAAAAAATCAACTGAAAATGGATCATCGACCAGAATGTAAAAATTCAACACTGTAAAGTTCTTAGAATAAAACTAAGAGAAAGCCTTGGCAACCTTGAGCTAAGCAAAAAGTCCTTGGAAATAACACCAAAAGCATGGTCCATTGAAAAATTGATGAATTAGATTTTATCGAAATGAAAAACTTCTGCTCTGAAAAAGACACTCTTAAGATAATGAAAAGACAACCTGCAGACTGGGAGAAAATATTTGCAATTACATACCTGATCAAGAATTTGTATCCAGAATATATATATATATAGAACTTTCAAAACCCAACAGTAAGAAACCAAACAACCCAATACAAAGTTGAGCAAAAGATGTGAACAGACATTTCACTAAAGAAGATATTCAGAAGGCAAATAAACAGAAGAAAACACAGTCTGTATTATTAATGCTATGGTGCTCCTATACAAATGGATTTATTTTTAAGACAATACCAAGTGCTTACTTGGATGTAGAATAACTGGAACTTTATACATGTAGAATAACTGGAACTTTCATACATTGCTGCTTTTAGGAATGCAAAATAGTACAGCTATTTTGGAAAATGACTTAATAATTTCTTATCAAGTTAAGCATACACTTAGCCTATGATCTTACAATCCCATTCTTATTCACTCTAGAGGAATGGAAAATCTATCTTTAGTTAGAAAGGATACACAAAGGTTTGAGCAGCATCATTCAAAATCACCAAAAACTGGGAACAACCCAAATGTCCTACAGTGAGTGAAGGTTAACAGACTGTGGCTCAGCTGTGTAACAGAATACTCTTCAGCATAAAAAGTCATGGGCTATAAATATATACAGCATGGATAATCTCAAAGGCATTATCTGGAGTGAAACAAGCAGTCCCGAAAGTTTGCATATTGTATGATTCTACTTATATGACATTGTGGAAAAGAAAAAATTACAAGAGCATAGAAAAGATCATTGGTCACCAGGGATTGGGGTGAGGAAGTATTTATTGCAAAGTGTATTAGGGTTCTCTAGAGGGACAGAACTAATAGGATAGATGTATATATGAAGGGGAGTTTATTAAGGAGTATTGGCTCATGCAATCACAAGGTGAAGTCCCATAATAGGCCGTCTTCAAGCTGAGGAGCAAGGAAGCCAGTCTGAGTCTAAAAACCTCAAAACTAGGGAAGCTGACTTCGGTCTGTGGCCAAAGGCTTGAGAGCCCCTAGTGGATCACTGGTGTTAAGTCCAAGAGTCTAAAAGCTGAAGAACTTGGAGTCTGATATTCAAGGGCAGGAAGCATCCAGCATGGGAGAAAGATGAAGACCAGAAGACTCACAAGTCTAGTTCTTCCATGTTCTTCTGCCCACTTTATTCTAGCCATGCTGGCAACTGATTAGATGGTGCCCACCCAGATTGAGGGTAGGTCTGCCTCTCCCAGTCCACTGACTCAAATGTTAATGTCCTTTGGCAACACCCTCACAGACACACCCAGGAAGAACACTTTGCATCCTTCAATCCAATCAAGTTGACACTCAATATTAACCATCATACAAAGGGACAGAAGGAGTATGATTTGGGGGGTGATGAAACTGTTCCATTTCCTTATTGTGGTTGTATTTACTACATGAATACATCCATGTAGTAAAATTCATAGAACTGTACCTCCCAAGGAATGAATGTTACTGTATGAAAATCTAAAAATTTTATTCAGCATTTCTACGTGTTTTCAGTAGTGAGACAAGATCAGCATCAGGGAAGTCCATCCTGTGGCATTAAGTCAGGTTTTTATTGCTTTTGTAATAGGAAAATACAACACAATAAAAGTCATTTTGTTTTTTTAAAAAGACAATTACATTGACAATACTTCGAGCTAAGAACCAAACATCCAGATACAAAAATGAGTTTGTATTGCTTAATAAAATTCTCCGTATTCTAAACTTCAGATAGGAATGAGCTTTGCCTGTTTTGCCAAACTTATAGGGACTAGCATAGAGCTTGCAGAAAACAAGTTCTTAATAAATACTCTTTATAACATCACTCAATAAATGACTGTAAACACAGACCTACTGACAGTGGGAGAAGTGGGAAAAGCCAAAATCACAATGCAGAGCATACAGAATTTGCTTAAATAATCTATACCCATATAACAAGAGCAAACATACAAACATCAAATCTCCTGCCTTTTATTTTTCTAATTCTCTTCTCGGAGTCAAAACCCTACTCATTGTTTAAGGTTCAGATCGGATTTTATTTCTTCCAAAAAAATCTTCCATACCCTCTCCATCTCACTCTGATTATTCTCTTATTTGAATGCTAACTTGCATTCTGACTTTGAGAGTAACCATATAAGCCCCTTGTAAAGCATACTCTGTCATGCAGCTATGTCTTATCTCTCTAGAATAATTAAAAACCCATGGATGATAAAAATCTAATTGAATATGTAGTCATGTTTTTTCTGAATTCTTCTCAGTACCTACATGTTACTAATGCACCTGGAGGGCATGACTGATGTTGCCTCAGAGCTGATACTCTACAAAGGTACTCATGCCTCACTTGCAAGTTGTCAGGGAATGTGCCTTTGCTGAAACCAAGGGGTTGGGTACATAAGAGGACAAAGTTGAGGTAGCCCCATGTTGGCCCAGAATCTCACAGGACGGCATCAGCAACTTCTTAGGCAGCACCCAGGCCTCTGAAGTTTCATCATTAGTATAGCACAGGTATCCAGCATGGGCACTTGCACCGTGAAAGAATGAGTACTTGCTCTTATCATCCAGACTTTGTTCAGGAACCTCAGCTCATTCACAGAAAAACTCGCTACTCTGACTCTACAGAATGAAAAAAACAAAAAAGGAAAGCTTATTTTACTCTAAATGAGAAAATGTTAGATTGCATTGGGTCCTTTTCAAAGAAATGAAATTAATGGAGTTACTCATTTCCTTCAAGGAAAGAGTAACAGTGCAGTTTCCCTCTAAGTTTTGCTTTCTCCTTCAGACAGCGCTCCTAATAAAAAAGGTTTACTATCATCAAATTGATTTAATCAGTGGATTTAAATGGTGCTTGACATTGAACCTAGTGATTATGACTTTGGTGTATTTATGTGTTTAGTACATTTGCACGTGGTGCGCTTATTAAACAGAGCAAATAATTTGCAGCAGAGTCGGCTGAGTCTTTGCAAGCTGAAGGAAGTATATAGCATTGTTTCCCCTCATCTGCATTCTTAAGTGCCTATTCTCTATAAAGCTTAGAGAATAAAGCTTTGCATTCATTTGTGAGCTGAAGTTAGGCTTGTTTCCATTAACTTCAAGCAACATTTCTTGTTCTTTCTCATCATTAGAACCTTAGTTTTTGGAATTTTAAGATATTCCTGTTTCAGAAATGGACATGGCTCTGAACTCACTAAGGTTCTCATTAGGTAAAAAGAAAGAATGCTAGAGAGAGAGAGAGAAGTGTCCAGAACATAAGGTGCTTCTCTGATTCTATCTATACTCACTCTTTAACTCCTACCTTTATAGGAAACCATTCCTGACCACACCAGCTTATATTGAAATCACACACTACTAATGGTCAGTACCCTACAATTTGATACTGCCTTACATTGCTTTATAGTGGTTGTTTTGAAATTGATTTTAATGACTCAAATTTGGGTTTCTTTTTTCAGGGTTGAGGATATGCTGCTCACCTTTTCACGTGTCTCCCACAGACCCTGTTGCAGTATAAGCCTTCAGTGGGTGCCCAATAAATACTTAGTTTGCTAGCTCTTGAAAATGGCTTGTCAATTTTCCAACACTGGCACAAGCACAAATGGTAGTAGATGCTGCAAATATTAATTTCTCGTAGTTAGAAAATAAATATGGCATTTTGTGCTTGGCTGGGGGGCTGTCCTTTTGACCTATAGCATTTTCACAGTTGTTTAAAATAGAACATAACTGCCACTTTTGACCCCATGAAATAGTGTACTTCCACTGACCTTATTGCCTTATTGGTTTTGCCTAGTTTTGTGTGTGTGTGTGTGTTTTTTTTTTTTTTTTTTTTTTTTTTTTTTTTTTTTTTGAGATGGAGTCTTGCTCTGTCACCCAGGCTGGAGTGCAGTGGCGCGATCTCGGCTCACTGCAAGCTCCGCCTCTCGGGTTCACGCCATTCTCCTGCCTCAGCCTCCCGCATAGCTGGGACTACAGGTGCTCTCCACCACGCCCGGCTAATTTTTTTGTATTTTTGGTAGAGACGGGGTTCCACCATGTTAGCCAGGATGGTCTTGATCTCCTGACCTTGTGATCCACCCGCCTCGGCCTCCCAAAGTGCTGGGATTACAGGCGTAAGCCACTGCGCCTGGCCAGTTTTGCCTAGTTTTAAAGGGAATATAAGCAACTATGGAAGGTCCAATAATTTCTTCCCTTCCATAGAGTCAATATATCTAATAGCTGCTTTCCTCAGCTGACTAGCATTGACTTCCCCAACACAATAAAGAGGGCAGAGATCTGTCTGAGAGGGTCCTGCTGGGAAGTGAGCATCTGCAGAGGGTCTTGGCAGACCCCTGACAAGCATAAGACTTTAGGTACTGTCTGCCCCTCCTGCCTCTTCCTCTTGCTCTCTACCTCGTCATCCAGCAGCCGTGTAACTGTGGCTTCTGCAAGTCCATCCTCAGCAGCAGCCCCTGTTCAGTGTTGCTTTCCCTGGAGGTGGCTTTTTCCTGCCTGGGCTATAGTCTCATAAAGCTGTCATAGCCCTGTAATCAGTTTGTCTTACCCTCTGAGATAGCTCAGAGGTATCTCACTTTTCCTGAGGAAGTACTACTTATGAGTCCCTGAAGTCTCACGGTATTTAATGTAGGAGACGATGTAAAGGATTTAGTCTTATTTGAAAATCCTAATGATGGCAGGTGGCCAGCTTTGGACTGTGCTGTGGACTAAATGTTTGGGTCCCTTCCAAAATTCAGATGTTGAGGCCTTAATTCTCAATGTGGTGGGCTTTCAGAGGTCTGACTTCTGAGGAATGAAGTCATGGGGGGTAGAGCCCCCATTATGGGATTGTTGTCCTTATAAAGCAATGAAGGAAGCAGAGCTCTTTCTCTCTTCCATGTGAAGATACAGCAAGAAGGAGGCTATCTACAAACCAGGGTGAGGGCTTTCACCAGGAAATGAATCAGCCAGCACCTTGATCTTGGCCTTCCCAGCCTCCAGAACTGCGAGAAATAAATTTCATAATTTAAACTAGTCCATGGCATTTTTGTTATAGCAACCCAAACCAACTGAGGCAGGCTACATTACTCTCTGGGACCCTTTAGGTGTAGGAACAGATTATTTTGCTTAAAGGTTGGTTACCTATTAGTCATTTACTGTCTACTGATAATGTTACCCCTGCTGCTTTCTGCTCATCTTGGCCTTTCTATTTGAACAGTGGTCTCCTAAACTGTCCTGTCTAGATATGAGACCTGAAACTGGGGCAGCCATTGCGAGACCCTGATGACAGCCAGCCCAATGGCAATGCAGACACACACAGCATGGTGGCATGAGATCATGTCCTAAGAAATGAGAGAATTTGATGTCATCGTGTGCTGCAGTCAGCCAGCCTTGGAACTCACCATACCTCTGGACTGCTTGATAGGTGAGAAAAGAAATTTGATATTGCTTATACTATTTTGAATTGAGATTTTCTATGACTTGAAGCTAAAAGCGTCACTCACACAGTTGGTTAAGTAAAGGTTGGTTATGAGAGTTTCTACATTTACCTACCACAAAGGGTTCTCATGAGAATCTGATGGAATTTGATGATGGATAAATAGATATAGAAAATATGGTATGTGTATCTAAACACAAACACACACACACACACACACACACACACACACATATGTTTTAGGCTGTTCTTGTGTTGCTATAAAGTAATACCCAAGGCTGGGTAATTTATAAAGAAAAGAAGTTTAGCTCACAGTTTCGCGCCTGTACAAGCATGGTGCTGGCATCTGCTGGGCTTCTTGGGAGACCTCAGGGAGATTTTACACAAGGTGGAAGGCAAAGTGGGAGCAGGAATGTCACATGGCCAGAGCAGGAGCAAGAGGATGGAAGAGGTACCAAATACTATTCTTTTTTTTTTTTTTTTTTTGAGACAGATTCTTGCTCTATCACCCAGGCTGGAGTGCAGTGGTGCAATCTCAGCTCACTGCAACCTCTGTCTCCCGGGTTCAAGCGAATCTCCTGCCTCAGCCTCCTGAGTAGCTGGGATTACAGGCACACAACACCACTAATTTTTGTATTTTTAGTAGAGGTGGGGTTTCACCATGATGGCCAGGCTGGTCTCGAACTCCTGACCTCAGGTGATCCACCTACCTTAGCTTTCCAAAGTGCTGAGAATACAAGCGTGAGCCACTGTGCCTGCTGGTACCAAATACTTTTAAACAACCAGATCTCTTGTGAACTCAGAACAAAGGGCCCACTTATCACCAAAGGGACAGCCCAAGACATTCATGAGGGATCTGCCTCCATAATACAAACACCTCCCACCAGGCCCCACCTCCAACACTAGAGACCATATTTCAATATGCGATTTTGAAGGGACACATATTCAAACCATATCATTTATACACACAGATATATATACACACACAATGAAATGTTGGTTAGCAATAATAGAAGAAGGAAGTCTTTCCATTTGTGACAACATGGATAAACTTGGAGGACATTATTCTTAGGGAAATAAGCCAGAAACAGAATGACAAATTTTGTATAATCTCACTTATATGTGGAATCTAAAGAAGCCAAATTCATAGCAGTAGAGGGTAGAATGGTGGTTGCCAGGGTCTACAAGAAGGGGAGAACAGGGAAATGTTGGTGAAAAGGCAAAAATTTTCAGTCATGCAGGGTAAATAAGTCCTGGGGATGTAATATACAGTAACAGTAATGTGACTATTGCTAACAGAACTGTATTATATACTTGAAATTTGCTACAATGGTAAATCTTAAGTGTTCTCACCACAAAAAGAGAAAATAATAACTATATGAGGTGATGGATATGTTAATTCACTTGGTGATTATTTTACAATATATACATATATCAAAATGGCAAATTGTGCACCTTAAATATATACAAATTGTGTTTGTTAATTATACCTCAATAAAACAAAAATATATATTCTTATAATTATTGGTCTGGACATGTGTGTGCTCAGGAATGGTACTAGGCAGTAGAGGTCCAATCTCTGCTCTCACCGAGTTTATAATCCCAGGGAAGAGACAATATTAAAGAAATAATTATGCACATATTTTCTTTTAAATAATAACTACTTTGTAAACCTACAGTGTAGACTGTTTGTATGATGGCATTAATACCTTCCAGCCTCAAAAAATAGATCTTGCTTTTGAAGGGCTTGTGGGTTCCACATGTGACATAAAACATGTGCCGATGGTAAGCAGAAAACTGGAGGGAACTTAGAAGGATGGACTGAAAAAGGAGGCTTTACCTTGGGAAAGGGGGAGGGTCATGTTTATTTTGGAGGTCCTTACATATTCAGAACCTTTTTAAAAAATTTTGGGCCAATCACTGCATTTTTAGGTGCCGGCAGGTATCAAAAATGTAAACTGATAGAATGTTAATTTTTAATAAATCCTCAGGAATAAATGTAATAGCTCATCTGTGAAGGATGACTGTGTTTCTTTCCCTTAGGAAGAGACCTTGATAATATATTAATGAGCGGCATAATGCTTACCCTTCAAGGGTGACATGCTCCATATATATGCAAAAGCCACATCACCCCACACTGAACTTTGGATAATGTCCAAATGTCTTCCCTCTATCCTGATGTTGTGTCTCTCATATCTGTTTGCTAGGTACATGCTCTGGCACTGCTTGGGTATAAATAATAACATCTGGCATCTGGAGGTTGAAGAATCTAACCATGTTTTGCTGATTGATGAATTAATCAATTTTTATTGATTACCAGAATGTTCTATTAATTCTATTATGATGTCTAAAGGGGAATCCATTGCAATTAAACAAAAAGACATTTGATAGTTTTTGTGGTAAATGAATTTGTAAATTTATTAGCTTTCAGTTGTTTACTTCCAATATAAGTAATTAATATTTCATGTTACTCTTTTAAATAGGAAAATGCTTATGGGATCATTTTAATTAAGGAGCAGGTATTGATTTGAAATGAAACCTCTAAAAGCCCTGAGTTTGTAATTGGGTAATACCTGGGTTATCAAAAATGATGTATTCTGATTACATTCATATTTCTCCAAAATCTCATTCCCTGACACAGAAGGCATAAGAATCTGTGCTTAAATGTCAGCTGGGGAAGAATGCACTAAGGTGCAAAGAAATCATTAAGTACCAGCTGAAATAATGTCCGCTGCAGCAGTGGACATGAAATCTGCATTGTGGTCTCAAGGCAGACAGGGATTCACTAAGATAAAGGCAGAGACAGTAAGAGAAGTCCTAGTGCTCAGGCAAAGAAGGAGGAAGGGGATGTTGAAGAGGCAAGCAGAAAGGGAAAGCTGGTGTCCCTGTGTCCGGGCAGAGATCGCAGATATTGGAAGGCTTGGTTCATAACAATGGACAGAGGCTCCTCTAGCCTAACAGCAAGGAGAGGGCTAGGCCTAGATTTTAGAGGTCTTCTAATGTGGAACATGGAAAAAAGTACTTCATCCTCCTATAATTTATGAGTGCCAATGACCCTAAGGTCATCACAGAATGGGGACAGGACTATAGGCCAAGTTGATCAGAACCCATTCATTTGGAACAAACACGTTCAAGACCCGGAGAGTAGAGTCAGTCAATCTAGGAATGAGTGTCAGGAGCATGAGGCCAAGGCAAGAAAGGAAGGAAATTCCAGCACTGCACTTCAGCGGTAAGGAAATCAGGCGAGCAGCCATAGCAGGTTAACACCTGGGCTGGGTGCAGTGGCTCACGCCTGTAATTCCAGCCCTTTGAGAGGCTGTGGCGGGCAGATCACTGGAGGTCAGGAGTTCGAGACCAGCCTAGCTAACATGGTGAAACCCCATCTCTGCTAAAAATACAAAAATTAGCTGGGCATGGTGGCAAGCGCCTATAATCCCAGCTACTAGGACGGCTGAGACAAGAGAATTGCTTGAACCCAGGAGGCAGAGGTTGCAATGAGCCGAGGTATCTCCATTGCACTCCAGCCTGGGCGACAGAGCAAGACTCCATCTCAAAAAGCAAAACAAACAAACAAAAAACAACAAAAAGAAAACCAACAACAACAAAAAAGAACGTTAGTTCCTGAGGGGACGGACAGTACCAGAATTGTTAACTAAATATTCCCAGCACATAGAATAGTGCTTGATGTATTATAAGTCCATGTGTTAATTCATGTGGATGAAGACCCCACTGAAGAAATAGGACATGGAGAGTGGGCAGGGGAGGGTATCCTAGTGAGTATATGGACAATGAAACATGTAACATGGCTTGTTGTTTGATTTCCACAATTGTCTTTAATTTTTTTTACTGCTTAGAATCTGCCTTAAAGGACAACATTGCTTGATTTCTACCTGGATCATTTCACAAAATTCCACAATGAGAGAGAAAAAATTTAGGACACCTGTGATGCTATTACATATGCTATGATATCTGATAATTTCTTATTTTAATAGTACATCAAGGGTGAGGGAAATGTACAGATGGAGAGACGAGGAGAGCTTTGCAGTTTTGAAATGGCCACAATTACAGGGTGTGGGCTATGAATTAAGGAGAAATGCTGTTGCAGACTCTACCAGACTTCGTATGTTTGCTTTTAGGTCCAGCTCTAGTTACCTCTAATAAGAGGCCACATATGAAAACTATTTTAACGTGTAGTTCAAGCACTGCTTGTGATATGTTTGTATTTTAATAAGGTAGTTTCATTCACAATAAAATGATCACTATTATAAGTCATTTTTTTTTTGAGATGAGATCTTGCTCTGTTGTCCAGGCTGTAGTACAGTGGCTCAATCACAGCTCACTGCAGGCTTGACCACCCGGGCCTCAGGGATTCTCCCATCTCAGCCTCCTAGGTAGCTGGGACCACAGGCACACACCACCACACCAGGCAACTTTTTTTATTACTATTTGTGGAGATGAGGTCTTGCTATGTTGCTCAGGCTAGTCTCAAACTCCTGGGCTCAAGCAATCCTCCCACCTTGGCCTCCCAAATTGCTGGGATTACAGGCATAAGCCACTGTGCCTGGCCATTAAGTACATTCTTAAGGACAGTATTTTATTTTAAAATCCATCGCTTACAGTACTTTCATTTGGACAAGACAAAGTAAAATTCTTATTAAGTTAAACTTCCTAGATCATGCAGGATAATTGCTTTGATGTTTCAAGATCCTTCCAAACTTTACAATTTTTCTTGCACATGTATAATTTTAACAAATTGAAATGTAGTCATAAATTGCTTAACGACAGAGATATGTTCTGAGAAATGCATGCTTTGGTGATTTTGGCATTGTGTGCATATCACAGAGCACATAGATGGCAGAGCCTACTCCATACTGAGGCTATATGGTGCAGCCTGCTGCCCCCAGGCTGCAAAACTATACAGCAGGTCACTGTACTGAATATTGCAGACAATGGTAACACAATGGTGAGCATTTGTGTATCTAAACATACCTAAACATAGAAAAGCTACAGTAAAAATACAGTATAAACAACTTAAAAATGATACACCTGTTTAGTGCATTTACCTTAAATGGAGCTTGCAGGATCGGAACTTGTTCTGGGTAAAGAAGTGAGCACGTGGTAGGTGACTGTGAAGGCCTAGCACATGACTGTATAGTACTGTAGACTATCAACTCTGTACACTTAGGCTACACTAAACTTATTAAGTAATTGTGCTAGAACATTACAATGGCTACAGTCACTAGGGGATGGGAATTTTTCAGCTCCATTATAATCTTATGAGGCCACCATCATATATGTGATACTTTATTGACTAAAATGTCATTTTGCCACTTGTGACTGTACTAAACATTAGAGAAGTAGTATAGAAAATTAGAACACGCTGAAATGTCATGACTCCAGTTGTAGTCCTGTGTCATTAACTAGCTTGGTGATCTTGAACAGGCACTTCACCTTTCTGGGTCTCGCTTTTCTTACCAGCTAAATTACAGAACTAAAGTAGATCATTTTTTAGATCATTTCTATCTCATTCTGACAGTCTACCGATAGAGTCTACAATAGCTTTGTCCAATAGAAAGACATCTGTGAGCCAGAAATACAATTTAAAATTATAAATGTACATGTAGCCATGTGAAAAAAAGTAAGAAGAAATAGATGAAATTAATTTTAATAATACTTCCATTACTTAAATCAGCATATCCAAAGTGGTATTTTTTCAACATTTGATCAATATAAAATTATGGAGTTATTTTACCTTTGTTTTATCATACTGAGTCTTTGAAATCCAATGCATATTTTACTCTTACAGCATATCTTAGTTCTGACTGGCTACTTTTTGAGTACTCAATAATCACCTGTGGCTAGTAGCTATTGTATTGGACAACACAGGTCTATAGTATTCAGCTAGAAAATAACTTCCATTAAATGGAAAGAAGACTTTCTCGGCAACATTTGTGACATATGGAAACTTTTTTGAAGAGTAGAAAAGAAGCTACATTATCAATTAAAATGATGAGTTTGGCTCAGTTGCCTGGTGCCTGGTGGCTTCAGCCCCACAATAGAAGGAGCTAGAATTTACTCCCTTTTGAGGTTCTCTTTTGTTTATCTGCTGTCACCAGATCCCCAGCTGTGGCTTGAGCTCTGCTGTAGAGTTCTGTTTGCTTTTCTGTGGGTCCTTACCCAGACTATGGTCACTACTTTCCCAAAAGATTGCATGGCCTCAGCAGGGGAGTGTGCAGCAAGCAGGTGCTGACCCACCCACCCTGGCCTCACCTCCAGGGTCTCTACAGCTCATCCTTTTATTCTTAACTTATCCTCAGCAACACCAACATATGGCTGCTGTGTGTGTGCATTACATGATCACTAATGGTGTGAACATATCTTGAACAAACTAAACATCATGGTGGAAAGTTGAAGGCAGATGATACTTAGGGCTGTTTTCAAAGTCAAAGAGAAAAGAAAAATAGGAGTTTTCTCATGGTAGGGTTGCCAGATAAAGTGCAGAATGCCAGTTCAGTGTGAATTTCAGATAAATAACAAACACTTTTTTAGTGTAAACATGCCCCAAACATTGCATGGGATATACTTATACTAAAAAATTTACTATTTATCTGAAATTCATATTCAACTAGGTATCCTTTTTTTTCTTTCTAAATCTGACAACCCTCTTCATGGATATGTTCAGTTCAGGTGTGATTGATCCATAGAGTGATAGACCCTTTTTTTAAACGTTCCACTGTTGATCTCATACCCTTCAAGAAAGCCTTTTTATGCTTTAGATCCGTCTTCTGCTCAGTCATTCCTTCCACTATTTTTTGGTGATAGCAACTCACTGCAGAACATTTTCTAGGGTCTAATATATTCACAAAGAGGTCACAGGAGACTTCTAATGATACCTTTTATGGGCTTTGAAATTCAAAGTCCAATTGTGTTTGGGTAAGTACCTCTCCCCGTGTGAGTTCAATACATCACTGCTTCTTTCTGCCATCTTCCAGCCTCAAGACCTAGTGTTCAGAGAGAAGTCTTTGAACAACACACACACACACACACACACACACACACACACATGCATAACATACACACAAAGAAGACTCCAAGCAGTAATTCCAAGATAATAATAAAGGAAAAAAGTGGCTTCCTAAATTAACATAGTCTGTAAAGATTTCACTTTCCAAATGAAGAAAGAACTTTTCTATTATTATGTGAAGCAGTTTTTACTTTACTTTCTCAACCACCAGCTTTCAAACTGCTCAGTGGTCAACTTAACCAGAAAAGGAAGTCTGCCTACTGGTCTATCTGGACCAGGCCCCACAGGGTGCCTTCTCTAAAAACAGCATCTCCCTTCACTGCTGCTGCTGCCTCTCTCACCAGGACCTGCAATCACCTGCTTCAGGCACACACATATACTGAGGAAGACAAAACAGCTGCAGTTTTAAAGTAGCTATTCTTTCTCCTTTTTGTCCTGATACACAAGAAATTGTTGATAATTTTGCTCCTAAGTAGAGGGTCTGAGTCAGGTTAGATTGCCTTTGTATGAGATCTAGGACTAACTCTAGGCAAAACTGAGGAGTAAGGCCAGCACTTTTATCTCTCCTCTTAAACTCTTTTCATTCCTCTACATACTCACGCTACTTGCCTTCATGATTCTGGCCTCCCAGTACCCTCTGCTGTTCCATCACAACTAATCTCTGATATGTTATTTACATACAGCCAAACCTTACCAGATAAACATTCATAACAGGAGTTTGCAAACTTTATATCATGAATGCTTTTTGAGAATGTAGTGAAGATGAGGAATCTTTTTCCTAGAACCAGTGCCTACAGAAATGCTTCTGTGTGTGTGTGTGTGTGTGTGTGTGTGTGTGTGTGGTGTAATGGAGTATTATTATTTTTTCTTTTTAGAGATGGGATCTTGCTCTGTTGCCCAGGCTGGAGTTTAGTGGCCTGATCATAGCTCACTGCAATCTCCAACTCCTGGACTCAAGCAATCCTCCTGCAGGGAGGATCCTCAAGCATCCCAAGTAGTTAGGATCACAGGCATGTGCCACCAAGCCCAGCTGATATTTATTTATTTATTTATATTTTGTAGTGACAAACTCTCATTATGTTGCCCAGGCTGGTCTTGAAATCCCGGCCTCAGGTGATCCTCTTGCTTTAGCCTCCCAGTGTGCTGGGATTACAGGTGGGAGCCACTATTTGTGGCTATCAGGGATTATTGACATAGTATAATAATATTAAGAAATGGTAAGAAAAAAAAACAGTAGATAAAGCAAGAGAATTACATTTTGCTCATTCCTAGCCTGTACTTGAAAAGTGTGAGTTTCCCTGTAGAAGACCAAGGGGCTAAATCATACCATGAAACCCTGGTCTTATATGCATGTGTAAGCATGCCTTACCTCACATATTCTGAGGCAGTTCCAGAAAAATCATTAAAGGTTGCTGGACTGTACACATTACTGTATATATAACATTTCTGTTCTCTCTGCTTTACCATCAATTTGATTCTGGAGAAAAGCAAAATATAAAACCTCTGTGAAGAAGAAAATAAGTTACCCCAAAGAAAGGCACCCCCACCAAGTTTTGGGAGGTGATAAAACTTATAAAGGGAATCGTCTGTACATAGTAAATTGTACATATGTAATTTACATATGTAAATACACCTCAAATTAATTGTATATATGTAAATACACCTCTAAACCTCAGGTTGTATTTTGGTAGTATCTGGTCAGACCTTATTCTTTCTCTTTCAACATATTATTATAAAAAATGTCCAACCTATTGAAAAGTTTGTAGAATTTTGAGTAAATGCCCATAAATTCACTACCTGTATCATTAATATTTTACTAGATTAGTTGCATATCTAACCATCTACTGATTCCTGTCTTTATACATCCATTTATCTTAAATTTGATGTATTTTGAAGTAAATTACAATTTAATACATTTCTTCTAAGTTATATCACCATGGGTATCTTTATTAAAGTTTAATATTTATTTAATTTTTTTTCTTTTTAAAAGGATCCTTCTTTTGGTACACAGTTGGCATCAATCATTGACTCCCTGTTCATCCAAAAGTGTAGAGGCCAAGGTGACGTCAATCATTCATGGCTCCATGTGAACTTCTCTAGTGACAGAGAGTAACTCACGGACAGTCAAACATTTGTTCCCCTTCCATTGATAGAACTGTTGCTGGAAAGAAGTTGCCAAGTCAGAGTATACAGTCCCTCTACCCTTTGCATCTAGATGAGGCTATGTCACTAGATTTTATCAATGGATTATAAACAAAAGAGTTGCCTATAATTCCAGGCCTAGATGGTGAAGTAAGGAGTCTGGGGTACCCCAAACTCTCTTTTCATCATTTACTGACTAGAATTCAGGAGTCTCCAATCATTTGGCTTCCCTGGGCCATATTGGAAGAAGTAGAATTGTCTTGGGCCACACATAAAATACACTAATGATAGCCAATGAGCTTAAAAAAAACAAACACAAAAAAGTTTCAAAATGTTTTAAGAAAGTTTATGAATTTGTGTTACACTGCATTCAAAGTCATCCTGGACCACATGTGGCCCTGTGGGTCATGGGTTGGACAAGATTGGACTAGATGATACCAGGGTGACCTTGAAGATGCTAGATTGCAGAAGACAAGACCAAAGTAGCTTAGGTTCTTGAGTCACTATTTGAAGCTGAGCCACCGTTTGAAGCTGAGACCGTGATTTAATTGAAAAATGAACTCTATTTTGTTAGGCTGGAGAGATTAGGGGTGGATTGATATTGATGAAGTGCCAAACTGAAAGTAGTGTTTAGAATATGGCCCAGAATCAAGGCTAGTGCACTGGGAATGTGGACAGCTGAGCTGATGTATTAGGTGGGTTCAGGGATATGGCATTGGGTAGAATATAATGGAGGAAGAATCATTTATTAAGTGTGCCTTATTCTCTTTAACCTTCACATCCCCACAACTCGTTACCTAACCTCTTTTCTCACTATTCCTCCTGCCTCTATTCATCCTGATTGAAAAATCTTGTGATGTGTTTGACCTCCTGGAAGAGTAAGTTGCTAGCAGGTGACAGTCATGTTCCTCAAACACATGATGGCATTCTTCCTCTTATGCTATGGCTAACTCCTATCTCTGATTGGCACAGTTACAGTACCATGTATATTTGGCATTCCTGCATCCTCATCCAAATGTTTGACAGTGTGATATTCTGATCTAGCTTCCTGAGCTTCCATTTAGGTTTAGACATTCTTGAAATATAGAGCTGTCCTTTTCCCCAATACTTCCTTCTCTGTGTGATATCTTTTCCCTTAAAGCTGGATATTTTCTCCTTTTATCATCATTTGTCAACAATCCTGCCAACTCTCAGTGGCATTCATGACCTTGTATGGATTTCACTGGGTTAAATGTCTCAAGTTCATTTTGTTTATTACACATACTTCTTTCATTGCTATAGTCACTCTGAAGATGTCAGATTTACCCTATGATTCTATTCTCTGTTATTTCCTTTTATAAATTACTTGGCATCTTCTCCATTGCTTCTGTCCCCCCCAGCTAATTTATACCTAATAACCTCCAAGGGCAGTATTTTATAGTGTAAGCTGTGCATTTCCCCCCTCTTTTCTCAATCTTCAATTGAAATCTCTCTTTATCCTGTTGGCAAGTCTCCTAGAAAATATATTCTTCTCAGGTCCCATGAGATAAACTCTATTCCTTGCCAAGAGCATTTCATTTTGGTGTCATAAGTCATGATCTTAAAAAAAAGCATATTATTTTCTTTGACATAATCTCTATAGCCAGCTGTTCATGTCTCATAACCTCTAGTTGATTCTTAAGTCATGACCTTTAACTGGAAACACAAACGAAAAGTTCACCCTTAGCCTTAAGCAATTTTGGTTTTAGCATAATAATTTATGAAAACTAGAGACACTTTTGCCAATTTTTAGTAGAATAATTTGACCCCACATAATTTATACATGGTACAGATATCTATTGTAATTATAATTAGTTCAAAGAAATTATAACATGGATATATAAAAATCATTGTACAAAATGAATGACTACAAGGTATAGGTTCCAGTTGGGTAAGATCTGAGGCTAGGATAGGCTGATTCTTGGAGTCAGTAAACTTCAGCTTCTAATAGTGCTTAGCCTAGTCCACTTATGTGTAAAGTTCCAGAACTCGTATTGAAAGATAATTTGAGCCTCATTAATAGTTGGGCTTCAGATATTAACAACTAAGTTTAGTGAGCAAGAGAGTGTAGTGGACATAAAAGCTAGATTGCAGGTGGATGATATGTACAACTGACCCTCCATGAAGAAAAAGCCACCTGAACTAAGAAAGTTATTAGGCATGACAGTTCAGACTAAGAAACTAGGCTTGGCTGTGGGAAGAGAACAGAAGGTAGTCACAAAACACAAGGTAGAACAGAAATTATTAGCTCAGTTCTCTTAGAGGCACTTATGTGCCCAGGAAAGACGGGGACTCTAAGATAATACTAAAATAACCTTCCTTATTACTATGGGGCATACAAATTCCGTGGTTGTTTATAAAAGTGGATTTGCCTTTTGCATTACTATATCAGCACCCGAGATCAAGGGATAGCGAAAATGTAGAGAGACTATAAATAGCAACAGCAAAATCAAAAACAGAACAACAACAAAAGCTATGTCAACATCATTATGAGAACAAATAATTCCACTGCCATTAAACCTACAAGCAAAGGCAATGGTGAACAATATCTGAGATGAATGGCAAAGAGCTCCCAGAGCAGAAGGAAAGCAGATTCTCATGTTTTAAACGGTTTGTTTTAATCGGGTATAGTAAGAAGGCAGACACAGAGATAACTGCTTTTGAAAGAAGAGCTTATTACCCACAGTTTCCAAGATGAGAAGGTGCACCATGCCACACAAGGCCACATAAGGAGGCACAAGCTTAGTCAGGGGGCATAAGGAGAGAGGAGGAAGCATGGGTATGAGTCTTGATTACTATAGTGATGAAAAATTGGTAGGTTAGGGTGTCTCCAACTGGGCAGGAAACAAAGCATAGATGTTGGGGTTTGTAGTCAGTAAAAAACGTAGTCTGTTAACATGGCCTTGTGACACTGTATGCCAAAATGTCAATCACAGGATCCCAAGAACGATTATTATATGCAGTAGTGGTGCAGATTGTCTGACAAACCCTACTTTGGTGTCTTTGGAGAGAAACAAGAAAAGGAAGAAGCTGAGAAGATTTAGAAAAAGTGGCCTTAGGGAAAACAGAGAGCCTCTCACTTTTAGGAAATAGAACATTTTGCTTACACTTGGAAACATGTGAATTAATGGAGACCTGATGAGGTTTCTCATTTAACAAAGACATTTTGCCAATCTTGGACTACTATTGGATCAGCTCCTACATTTTGAAAGTAGAAGCACCCTGGCCCTAACTCAATCATATAAATGTTAAGGCATTTACCTCTTGAAGACACAGATGAAAGTAGGAGAAAAAGAAAGGATTTTCCTATAACTTGGTGAGCCAGCCAGAATATGTCAAAGGAGAAAGATGTTTTTTCCTTTTATCATAGGGTTAACCATTCTTGTAGGTGTCAGTATTCTCTGAATATTCATAAATCATTTAAATTAGTACAAACTGATACAAAATGAAGAATAATATGTGAATAAAAATGTCCTGGGACTGGAAGAATAAACATCATAATAATGTCAACTTAATGTAAAATGTTAACACAGTCAGGTTTTTTTATGGAGATAAGTTATTTATAAAGTTAAAATGGAATAATAAGCATCCAAGAGTAGTTATGGAAACAATAAAATAGAAAAATAATATGTAGGTGCTAGCCATATCAAATATTAAAACATTATAAAACCTGTATAATTAAAATGTCATGATTTTAGCTCATGAACAGATGAAAAGCAAAGGGTACAGAATCAAAATTCTAGAAACAGACAAAATACATATAAAATTTTTGTGTCTAATAAATGTGACATCTCAAACCAATTGAGAAAATGTAGGCCTTTTAATACAAGATTTTGGGACAATTGGTAAGACATTTGAAAAAGATCTTTCTGTTACTTCATCCATACAGATAAGTTCCAAATGACACAGTGATATTAATGTAAAAAAAAAAAAAAATGAGGCCTGGCGTGGTGGCTCATGCCTGTAATCCCAGCACTTTGGGAGGCCAGGGTGGGCGGATCATGAGGTCAGGAGATCGAGACCATCCTGGCCAATATGGTGAAACCCCCATCTCTACTAAAAATACAAAAATTAGCCTGGTGTGGTGGCACGCGCCTGTAGTCCCAGCTACTCAGGAGGCTGAAGCAGGAGAATCATTTGAACCTGGGAGGTGGAGGTTGCAGTGAGTCAAGATCACGCCACTGAACTCCGGCCTGGCAACAAAGTGAGACTCTGTCTCAAACAAAATAAAATAAAATAATGAAACCATACATGTCGCCAGAAGAAAACACAGGCAAATACCTTTATAAGCTAGGAAACAGGAAGATTGGAAAAAGCCTAACCATGACTGTGAGAGCTACATTCTTTATGTAGGCCCTGTTTTCTGTCTTTTCCAGCTTTTTAGAAGTTGCTATATTCCTTGGTTCATGCCATAAGCCTCTGACTTCTTCCATGTTAACATTTCCCCTGGCTCTGACTTTCCTGCCTTCCTCTTACAAGGACCTTTGGGATTAAATGAGCTCCTCATTTCAATATCCTTAACTTATTCATATCTGCAAAGTCCTTTTTGCTATGTAAAGTAACTAACTCACGGTTTCTGAGACACGGGTATCTTTAGGAGGCTACTATTCTGCCTACATAGTCTTTCCTCTGACTCCCAAAGATTCACAGCCATCCCGCATGTGAAATATTTTCATCCCATTCCAAGGTTCACAAAAGTCCCTATCCATTACAGCATGAACTCAAAGTCCATACTTTCGTCTAAATCTCATCAACTCAGAGTCCCGAATCTCATGATCTAAATCAGAAGAGGGTGAAACTCTGGGTATGAGCCAGGGGCAAAATTTCTCTTCCTCCGTGGACCTATGGAAAACCAAAAAAGAAGTTATCTGCTTCTAAAATACAATGGCAGAGGAAGGCAGGCATAGAGTAGCAGTTCCAAACATTTCCTTTTGAAAAGGGAGAAAATTGAAGGGAATAAAGACACATTGTTCTCAGGTAATTTTGAAATATCACTGGGCAAACTCCATTAGGTTTCAAAGCCTTTAATTAATCCTCTGTGCTTTAACACTCTGCCCCGGGCTCAAAGCCCCACCCTTAGGGTCACTCCTTATTTTATATGAAGGGCAGCATGTATTTTCCACTGAGTTGTTTTATCAGCTTATTTATTTCCTGAATGTAGCAATTCCAACAAGGGGGTTGACAGCCTTTGTTTATCGTGTCCTCTCTGTCCCTTTTGATCCAAGCTGGCAGTATTTCTGATGGTATAAAATTCTCAAATACCTTGTCTTCCACGTACGTCACAGGGATTCAGTTCATTAGATGAGAGGCTCCTCCACAGAGGTATCCTAGACAATCTCACCTGTATCGTGGCTTCTGTGGAGTTGACTTAGGGGTTCTGTGAGTAACAAGCCTAACTACAGATGTATTCAACAAGATAGATGAATCTCAAATGCATTATGGTGGGTGAAAGAAGCCAGGCTCATTTATATGACATCCTATAAAGGCAAAACTACAGGGATGGAGTACAGATTAGAGGTTGCCAAAGGTTGCAGTCAGGTGGGGGTGGGGAAGTTTGATTGAAACAGGCAGCACAAGGTAATTTGCAGGGAACAGTGTTGATAATAAAGAACAACTGGGCTCCCGGCTAAACTGCACTCTCGAGCTTGGAAACTTGGCCCTAAGTGAAAGCAGCTGACCCCATTTTTTCCACCCAAATGATTGCCTTTTTGGCCTGCCCACCCTGTATCCTGACCCCATAAAAACAAGACCAGCTGGCAGAAAAAATAAGGAAGAAAAAAGAGCAACACAATCTGCTGAGCCTTGGGCTGAGCAGTGAGCAGAGAAGCAACTGAACTTCAGGGACCTTATGTTTGCAGAGGGGAGCCGAGCCATATGTGGCTGGGCTTCAGAGAAAGAACACGTTCTTCCTGCACCAACCCCTTTCCAGCTCCCCTTCCACTGAGAGCCACTTTCACTGCTCAATAAATTCTTCTGAATTCATCATCTTTCCAACAGTTCGTGTGACCTGATTCTTCCTGGACTCCAAACAAGAACTCAGGTGTCAAACAGGGCAGGTTCAGGAGGCTGACACCCTGACCCTTTACTGAGCTGTTAACACTTAGCCATCCACAGACTGCAGGCTGAGTGAAATGAGCCACTCTAGTTCCTGCCCAAAAAGGAGGTAAAGGTCAAAGGGAGATATTCCCATCTTATTGATGGAACTGTTCTGTGTCTTGTTTTGGTGCTTATACAACTCTTATGCATTTGTCAAAACTCATAGAGCTGAAGATCACAAAGAGTGATATCTACTCTATACAAATTAAAAATAAGTTATAAAACAATAGGAGACAGAAGAAGTAGAAGGAAGAAAATTTAGACCTCATTAGTTGACTTCACATTCTTGTGAAAGATCCAGAATGGAAGTGAATATAAGAGAAAAATAAACTATTTCTCTCAGGAAAATACAATTTGTAAATACCCCTTTTCTTTCTCTACCTATTTCATGCTTTGTAAGGAAGGCAGATTCTGTAGAGGAGGCTCAGCACCCATGTTAAAAGCATCCTACAATGACCTCAGCTTTAAAGCTGAGCTTTCATTTCTAATGCTTTAAAATAGAATTCCACAAAGCTAGGGTTTCACTCTCCGTTTAAAGTTTACAGCATTTGCTGACCTTTAATTCATTAATAATGGAATAATTTGGATACTACACTATAAGTTACTTGAGGATAAGATCTAGTTCTGCCTCACTTTGCTTTTCTCAAACTTCCTATCACAATCCCTTGCTAATACTGCAGGCCCTCCATAGAGCTACATTTACTAAATACATCTGTCAACAAACATTCTCTCTTAGAAATGCAAATGCCCTACAGGCTTTGAGGTTTTTTTATTGTTGTTGTTAATACTGCCTTATATTTCTTATATTTTCTATAGTAAACATAAATTACTTTTATAATTAGAAAAAAGCAATAAAAGTTATTTTGCAAATGCAAACACATCTGGGAGGGTTGTTTCAACCTTATTGCTTTTCTTGAAAGAATTGACTTATGTTGCACAGAGGGAGTGAGTTTTGACTTGGAAGGGGTAAAATAAGTCATTTGACAACAAGGACTACTTTTGGGATGGGGCTTATAGCAGCTGGAGAGCACCAGAGGTTTGATGGGAGGTGAGCGAAGATGCAGAAAGGGAGGTGGAGGGAATAGGTTAGGTCTGAAATAAATGTAATATTGTCAAAGCTTTTTTCTGATACCACTACATTAATAATAATAGGAAGAAGTAATTTTGCCTTTTTCTCTTCCATCCAGACTGACTTGATTCTTGAGAGCAGGAATCCAGAAAACCTCATATTTGCTAAATGTTTTTCACTCCAAAGTACGGAAGCTAATGTCAGTTGGTGGCAAAGTTCTTCAGATCAGCAGGGAAATTAGAAAAATAAGAACAGTGTAGGCAGTTTTACATAGAGCTGTTTGGTCATTTAAAAATTTTTGATATAATCTCCTCTCTAATTTTTCTGTTAGAGTATTCTTTACCTTATGGAGTGATAATGATAGAGGAGCTCAATTATTTGTTAAAGACTTTTCAAGTCCTTAAAATCTAAATCTGGGCTTTACCCATTAGGCTGTAAGCTCCATGATTACCACCATGGAGTGTGTTTTAGTCTTTACCTCCTACTTTCGTATGCCTGTGCCTAGCACTGTGTCCAGCACATAATGATATAAAACAGTATCTGTTGATTCTCTGACTATGGTAATTCAGCTACATTATGTCCTGTTTGTATTTCTGAATTAGATTGGAATCTAATCCCATTGAATAACTCTTCAGGTTATGCATTCCAAGTTGACAGAAAGTTCCTAAACAATATGTTCTCTTGTTATAAATTTCAAACATAACTCTGTCATATCCCATTTGGTGTAATTCTGACAAAAATATACACTAGTTTGTTCACTTATTAGTAGTCTGACACCTTTCAACAAAATGAAAACTTCTGTGAGTTTAGTACAGAGCCTGACACATAGAAAGTGTCTTAACTTTTTTTGTTGAATGAATCACTGTGTTAACTCTATCATCTGCCCAGTGACGATGTCTTGGTTATATTATGCCCCATGGTGGTAGGCACATCTGGCATTGTGTAATCACATTTTTAGCCTTCTCTGCCACCATTCCATGTTATGTGCTACTGGGACATTAAACTCTCAGAGATGGTATCTTGGCTGGGTGTTAAAAAGATAGGTCTAAATTTTCCAGGTGTGAGTATAGAGGGATTGAAGGAGGAAGTATGGGAGGAAAAAGAGGGAACTATGTACCAAATAGAACAGCACATTATTTCAGGCTCAGAATGACAGAATTTTTCTCTGTCTTGAAATATTCATACTTCTTCAGATGCCCCTAAACAAAATAACTTACTGTGATTTCTTGTATTCATGTTGACCTCTTAAGTGGACTAAATCCTTTAGGAGGTTGAGACTACCTGTTATTTACCTTTGGTTTTATAGAATCTTGTCCAAAGAAGCACCCAATGAATATTAATTAAATAAATGTCTAAATGTAAAATCTTTCTAATAATAACAGTAAAGTATTTCTGTATCACTTTATAGTTTACAAAGACTATTGTTAGATTCATAAAACTGTTGAGGTAGGTAGAGGAGGTCCTTATCCCCATTTTTCTAGTAAGGAAACTGAAGTTCACAGAATTGAACATAGTCCAAGATCATGAAACCAGAGTATGGTTAAGCTAAGACTTAAATCTAGGTCTCCTTACTTCAAAGCCAATGTTCTTGGTATTCACCCATACATTCTTTTGTTCTTTCCTTCAATGAATATTTACCAAATAGCACATTTTCCTTGATTCTTACATTTCCAAGCACAGGATAGGGTACACATAGAGAAGTTAAGGAATGTAAGAGCTCTCAAAAGGACATACCAGGTTGAGATCAGCGATGATATCTGGGGGTACTTGGAGCTAGTGAGGGTAAAGAGCAGGCTGGGAAGTAAAAACTGATAATAGCCTAATTCTAAGTTGAGTAGGGAAGGTTTAGTCCCAGGGAAATCATTTTAGGGAAAAAAAAGGGGGTAAAAAAAGAATAGGGATAAATGCAATACACATTCTGGATACAATTTATGAGTCCAATCTGTATGCACAGTCTGGATACAGATTTGTATGGAGGCAAGACTCAATACAAGGATCTGCACCATCTGGAGACAGAGCTGATCTTGAGCCAGCAGTGAGTAGAAATACTTTCTCAGAGGACCAGAGATCTTTCAGATGGGGTTGCAAAGAGAGTCTTCATAAGGTTTTTTCTTGCACATACGTAGATATGCCATTGATTTGGGGATGACCTGTGTTTATTTCTGCACTAAGGCTGCAAAGTAAATCAGTTTAGTTTGTGAAGGTTCTCATAGACCCTCTTTCTGAGAATCACGTATCAATAATGTTAGTGACAATATTCAGATTTAGCGCATCAAGTCAATGGGTCTAAATGCAGATTATGGAACAGCTTTTCCATATTGGCAATTCAGCAGGTACACAAAGTGCCACGCCCTGATGACTTGCTGCCAAAATGTTTTCCATGTTGGGAATTCAGCAGGAATACAGAGCACCACAGCCTGAGGACCTGCTGCTAAAATGTTTATTGTCATTTAGGGACAGTTATTCCCCACATTCATAACATATTCTACTTTAAGAGCTGATTATAAAATTCAATTTTAAGAATGTATTTAATAAAAGTGTTACTCTTGATTTTGCTTGAGTTTGAGGGAAAAAAACTAATAACAACACTAGACAAATGTCAGCATTGTGATATATAATTAAATTATGTATCACCCAAAGAGAAATCTGTTTTCTTTCTCTTTGACTCTTCAGCTGAAATATGTGCAAATTTTGTTCTGCAGTTTCCATTCCATTTAGTGTCTGTAAATCTGTCCGAACCCATTTGCTTGCTCCCGAACTCCATATTCCATTTTCCTTTACTTGGGAGGGGGTCTGTTAATGAGAGGATGGCAAACTGGGATCCCTAGACAATGTGTAATCAAGATGTGTGCTCAGACTTCCACTATTTTTAACGCTGTGTAAAGACATGTTCCTCTGATGAGTCAACATTATGATCCACTAATTGAAGCCTGAAAGCAGAATGAAATTAATGCCTCATAAAAACACAGTGTCAGGCCTGGACAGAGAGGGGTGTCACACAGTGTACGAATTTCATAATGCATCAGAGGGGCAAAAAAGGAGCAATTTCCATTAAAAAAAAAAAAACTCATCCCCTCAGAACTACAGAAACTGCCATGACTAGACATCTTTTCCTTTCTAAAGGCTTCATAAAAACTGTGATGAAAAATGAACCATTTTTAGAAATCCCTAACCTCTGGAAAGACTAAGGTTGCCAAGCTTTTACCTAATGGCTTTGTCATTTCCAGCCTCTCCAGCTTCCTCTGCAAATGCATTTTCTTGTTGATGGAAAGCCTCCTGCCCTTGCCTGTTAGTATTTATTTGGTTGATGTGGGATTGAAATTTCT